>NC_000002.12:194156284-194459314 GCF_000001405.40 Homo sapiens | reverse complement strand
TTTTATTAGCTGTTTTTTTTTCCTACCAATACTTCCACAGTTCCAATGGAACATAGCAGGGTTGATTCTAATCTTCTAAGTTTCCTTAGTTGTATGGTTTGTCTGTGTTCCCATCCAAATCTCATCATGAATTGTAGTTCCCATACTCCCCATGTATCATGAGAGGGACCTGGCGAGAGGTAATGTAATCATGGGGACAGTTACCTCCATGCTGCTGTTCTTGTGATAATGAGTAAGTTCTCATGAGATCTGATGGTTTTATAAGGGGCTTCTTCCTTTGCTCGACTCTCATTTTCTCTCCTGGCACCCTGTGAAGAGGTGCCTTCTGCCATGTTTGTAAGTTTACCAAGGCCTCCTCAGTCATGTGTGTCAATTAAACCTCTTTCCTTTATAAAACACCCAGCCTTGGGTATGTCTTTATTAGCAGCATGAAAACAACTATACAACTGTAAGTTTCTGGGGTGTATTTGATCATCGTTTTACTTTAAGTAATTCTTATTAAATGTTACAGGTCAACAACTTCATGGAGCACACTTGGGGAAACATTATTCTAAGCCAATAAGAAGCTGCAGAATTATTATAACTCCTTTTCATGGGATAAGAAATAACAATATTTTGTCAGGAGAATAATATTAGCACCAGGTTTGAGTAAACATTATTGTGAGTGAGTTTGGCATACATGGCATCTGAATTGGCTAGCAATATTTTCCTTCTTTCATGAAGAAGCATAGACCCGGAATTAGGAGAAGCTAGTCTCTCTCAGCTAAAGACCACTTTTTTTAGAAGGGCATTCTCTCAAACTGGGCATAGCATTTCCAAAGATGAAATTATCAGGAATATTATAAGTTCTAAATCTCTCCAGTGAATCAGTTACCAAAGCAACTTCATTAAATAGCTTGATTATGGGGTACAAAGATTTGAAATATTTTATTGCTTTTCTTCTATCAGAATTTTACAGCCAAAATAAAAGATAGCATTGTGAAATCTGAAAATCTTTCTTCTAAATAAAACAAAAAACACTTTTTTAAAATTTTATTTATTTTTTTTTAGGCAGAGTCTTGCTCTGGCAAGGCTGGAGTGTGGTGGTGCAATCTTGGCTCATTGCAACCTTCACCTCCTGGGTTCAAGTGATTCTCCTGCCTTAGGCTCTGGAGTAGTTGGGAATACAGTCACGTGCCACCACACCCAACTAATTTTTTAATTTTTAGTAGAAACCAGGTTTTGCCATGTCGGTCAGGCTGGTCTCAAACTCCTAAACTCAAGTGATCCTCCTTCTTCGGCCTTCCAAAGTGCTTGGATTACAGGCATGAGCCACTGCACCCGGCCTAAAAGTCATAATTTTTTTTAAAGTATATCAAAGAGATTATCAAAAGAAAATTTAGATTTGGTCAATCAGCCCTTGTTCTCCACTGCTCTACAGATTTCAGAGTCTTAATTTGGACTCCAAAATGCTTTAGTAAGTTTTAATTTGCAACTTATGTGTTAGTGAATTGTTTATAGAAGCAGCACTTACCAAAGTTGTCTTACAGGTGGGTTATAAATAACTTTCTGCAATGACAGTAAAATACAGCCTAATATATATAAATTTATTCCTATTTAAATATGAATGAGGTTTGGAAGCAAATTATGCTTGCTCAATTGGTTTCATAAAAAGCAACAGTCATATTTATATAACAGGGGAGGCTTAATAATTGTCCACTAAAATCAAATATTTGAGAAATGGAGCAATACAGAGAAAGCCATGTACCATTGCATCACATATCTTGAATAATTTAAAAACTTCAATTTAAAATCCTGTCTGAGAACTCCTGTTTAAAAACTTAAGTAGCACAATTAAAAAACCTAGTGTAAACATCAGTAAGAATCAATGAATTATATTTGTTTCTTGCTTGGTTTCAATGGGTCCATATAATTAAACGAGTGAAAAGGAAAATAATATAAATATATAACAACTGCTAGAATATTCTTTTTAGAGACTTTCTCCATTACAACCTTAAGATTATATATGTATGAGTGTGTATATATGCAGATTTTAGGTCTGTGCGGAGAAAGAACTGGAGTTTCAATTCTTTCTTTTCTATTCCAGAGGCATGCAATTGGTAAATGCACTGATACTTAACACCACAATTTTCAATATGTGTAAGAAAGAATGATCATCATTACCTCAAAATGTTGCAGAATATCTTCCTGACAGATATTTTTTTTTGTGCAGGAATCAGCTCACAGTGGCTTTCAAAAGCCAAACATAGGCATCTTTTTCCAGCTCCTGTTCAGTGACATTTTACTGATAACTTTAAAGTAGCCATAATAGGAGAGTATTCACAGCACAGAAATCAACAAACAATGTATATCACCACTACCATGCCCAGCAAGCAACTTTAGTAGTACATAAGTGAATGGCATATTATATGTACACAATAAATAGAAGTTCTTAAACTATTATTCATCTATTTAAATAGTAGCTATAGCTGAACTTAATTCTAAATTATGGGTCTAAATATTTAAGAGACTTTGAATATAAGTAACCCTAATTTAAGGTTTGTGAATCAGTAATATATATCAATAACATTAATGATTATAACAAATGTTTTGAAATCCTGAATTTTGAAATTAATCTTCAGTGGCTCTCTTACTGTATAGACACATTTAGTTAGAATTAGACAATTTTTCTAGAAATTTGTCATCAACATATTTTATCCCATTTCTGCAATCGTTCCAAATGATTTACCTTACTTATTTATGTCTTCTTTTGAAGTTCAGAAAGCTGTCTGTAATTTCATCTTAATATGCATATTTTGTTAGGAGTAATCAACTTCCCTCATAGTCCATGATTTTATATTACTCTGAAAATAAAATTCTCTAAATTCTTAAAACACAACACAAAATGTGTTTTAATGTAACATAGTAATTTGTTCTGGGCAAAAATACAAACTGAATCAATTTCTGTGGTTGCTATTGTCAGGGCAATACCCTAACTTCCCATTATGTTCAATCCTATAATGGTGGTAACAAGTTTTTTTTTTTTTTAGCTCTGCTTTGTGTCATGCTGCGAATTTCAGTAGAAATACTGGTTCCAAATTTTCTTAATGGATTTTTTTGCCTACAGTATGTGCATTTAGTTATGAGTGGCTAACTCCATGTGCCCGCTTTCAAAAAATGTTAAAATACTGTAAATTGTTGTTATTATTTCAGTAAAGAATTGTTCTTGAAGATAGAATCAAGAATGCAGTGGAAGAAAATGGTAGGAAAAATAAATCAAATAAAATATATAGGACTGTGCAAAGTAAGGTCTATTCTCATGAAAGGAAAATATACACCTTTCAGTGGTGACTTTTCTATGTTGTTAAAAAGTAAGTTGCTGTTATCCATGTGTGATTTATCATGAAATGCATTTCTTATGCATTCCCTTTCCTTTGTGCCCTTTTGTTAACTTTTGTTATTTTTCTATATTGTCAACAATGGGAAAATCATTTGCTTTAAATGAAAAGTTTGCAATAGCATTGCTAATTTATTTTTCCAGATATGTAAACTTTTGGATCTGTAGCAAAAGATGTTACTGCAAATAATCTATTTATAATCTATTTAAATTTATTTGAAAACTATATTGCAAATAGGTTGTTGCAACATAAAAAAACACCCTTTATATGCCCCAAAAAATATTTATGAAGCACTTTGGAAAGGTTTTTTTTATTACCTATTGACATCCAAGCACTTTTGACCTCCTGTTGATAAAGATTTAAAATAGGAGAGAACTTCGGCCTGTGTAAATAATACTGAAATAAATGTCAAGCTGGATTCAGACGTTTAGTCCCTTTCATTTGCTTTGAGTTTCTTAATCTAATTGATTATCAAACAAAGGAGTCATTGTATATTTAGGTATTTGATCTTGAAAAAATATATTTTAAAATACCATTTTTCAACATTGATTAAAGGCAGCACAGCATTACAATTTCTGAGCAAAGGGAAACAAAGTAGGTTCACCTTTGCTTCTTAGAGGCATATTCTATACCATGTCACAGGGAATGGGAACCCCAGCGGAAGATAGTTGTCTGGCTAAACCAAGAGACAGAGGTAGGACTGAGTCAACTGGAACTGCAGGGTAGATTACCATAAAGGAAGTGTCACAGCGTTCATAAAGATGCCGTCAACTGGTTTCCAGTGATCCTTAAGTAATTAGACATTCAGCAAAGTAAAAAATTGATGGCCTTATCAATGAAACTACTAAGAAGAGTGCATTAGCAGATATCATCATCATTAACAAAACAGATTCATTTGCAGAAAAGGATTTAAACAAATTAAGAACAACTATTAGATTAAACATAGCACAGACTTTAGAAACACAAAAACTAAGAGTTGGTGTCTCTAATATATTGGATAGTTATGCACTGGGCAGTCTCTCAAAAATATATTTACAAAATTTGTAAGATGTCCTTACAATATAACTCAGATTGATGAAATTACAGTTATATTCACATCTGAAGTGCAAGGAAATGTAATGGGAGAAAGATTAAACGTATTTATTCAAAATTAGTTTTGGTTAAATAATGAAGTATTAGGAAGATGGTTCAACTAAAAGGGCAATAATTTATTAAAGACAATCAGATGATTATTGATCCAAGCTGTCCATGAGATATAAGATTGAAAGGAGATTGTAGTGATCTAGAAAGATAACACAGAGAAAAAAATAATTGGTTCTGATTGATGAGATCATAAATAAGGATATTTTTACACAACTATAGCCATTCTGACATCACATTTCAAAGAAGACCAAGTTTGTTTTTAATACCAAAAGATAATTCTTACCAAAATATAATAATTTCATGATCAAAACAGAAATAAGTTTCCTACTGAGTAGTTCATGCATATAATTATTTATGTTATGAATTGCAATGTGTTGTTATTTTAGATAATGAATAAGATTTAGTAAGTTAGGACTGTAAAATATTTGGCATCTTATAGTGAAATAAAATACCCTCTATATGGCCTTTCGTGATTGTGTGTGTGTGCGTGTGTGTGTGTGTGTGTGTGTGTGTGTGTGTGTGGAGAAAGCTGTTTCACAAAAGTCGTCTTTCAGAATTGATTTTCACATATATAAAATTTACTGGTAATAGTGATGACAAAACATACTTTAACATTTTCCCTTTTCTTAGTACTTCAGCTGATTGAAAACATGTAACAATTTTATTATGTTATGAGACAGTTCAAAGTGCTTAAAATATTGATTAAGAAACAGGTGGAGAATAAAGAAAATACTCAAAACAAAAGCTACTGTTTTGGAAGATCATTTAAGTTTATTAATCTTCTTTAAAAAACAAAAATAACTGATTTCAGCAAAAAAATATTACTGCAGTTCCTACATGTTATCAAAGGACAATAAGGGACTGTGACAATCATATATCAATAAATTCCACAACTTAGATTAAATTGATAAATTAATTGAGGAAATTTGAATAGTTATATATTTATTAAATAAAGTATATTTATAAATTATAGTTAATGAATTTATAAATTTACTTTCCCACAAAGAAATTTTAGGTCCAGATAGCTCACTGTTGAATTCTTTAATAGAAAAATTAACAAAATCCTTCATAACATATAAAAAAATAGAATAGTGAGAACTTATTGTGTGAAGCCAGAATACCATGACTCAGAAAACTGGCAATGATATTGAAAAAAAAAATTGTGAACCTAGAGGCAAACATTAAAAAAAAAACAGTAATTTTTTTAAGATAATAGACCATGAATAATAGGATTCATCCAGTGAATGCAGTTGATTTACCATTTGAGAATCAAGGAAACTCACTATACAAATAGAACAAAGATAGAAAATTAGGAAATCATCTCAATAGATGCAGAAAAAGCATTTGACAGAATGCAGCATCAATTAGTGATAAATGCTTTCAGCAGACTAGGAATAGGTTGCAGAACCCTCTTCAACATAGAAAGCATATCTGCAAAAAAACATCAAATATCCCATATAATGGTGAAGAGCTGAACACTTTATCTTTACCAGCAGGAAGAAAGCAAAAATGTCAGTTCTACTACCTCTATTGAATGTGTTAAATGACATGATAGCCATTGCAATGAGACAATAAAACAAACTCTTTCGTAAACATAGTTTATGAATCTACAAAAACAAATAAAATACTGGAACAAATAAGTGAATACAGCAGGTTACAGATCAGCATATAAAAATAAATTGTATTTCTATAAGTGGAAAAAAGCAAGTGGAAAATGAAATATTAAAAAATAGCATTTATGATAGCAAAAACATAAAATAAAAAAGATTTTTAACTGTGAGATGTCTACAATGAAAAATATAAAACATTGTTGAAAGTAATTAAATAAATGGAGATATATATCACATTTTTTGATAATAAGTCCCAATATTATTAAGATGTCATTTCTTCCAAAAATGATCACTGGATTCGAGGCAACTCCAATCAAAATAGAAATCCCAGGAATACTGTGTTTAGATAGTCACAAGTTGATTTAAATTTAAAAGTAAACTTTTAAATTTATTTTTATGTGCATACATGTATATGTGTATGTGCAGGTGTGTGTGCATGTGTATATGTGTGTGTCAATGTGTGCATATGTGTGTTTGAAACGTGCATGTGTGCGTGCATATGTGTAAGCACGTGTGTATGTGTGTAAGTTAAGTAACTTAAGTATGTGTATGTGAATAAGTTAAGAACTTTAGCTGAGAAAATCGCTTTGCTACATTATCTGTAGACCTTCTTTATAAAAGGTAAACAGAACAATGTGATCATAATAAAAATATGTAGACCAATGATAAAGATACAAAGCTTACAATTGTACTTACAGACTTACAGTTTATCCATTTTCAAAGAAGATGCCAAGATACTTCAATGGGAGATAGCATAATCTTTTCAAGAAATTGTATAGTAAGGACTCAAATCTATATTTTGAAAAATGAACTTCAACCACTATATCATGCCACATGTAAAAACCAAACTGCAAACCAATATTATCAGACCTCCACTACAATGATTAAAATCAAAGAGACTGAGAAAGCCACATGTTGATGACGTTGCAAAGCAAAATGGAAATCTTGTACATTGATGGTGGAATTGGCATATTTTACAAACATTTTGAAAAACAGTTTTGTAATATTTTATAATGTGTGCGCTTTCATCATATGACCCAGAAAATCATGCATTAGGTATTTACTCCAAAATAATGAAACCAAATAGTCACACACAGAGACTTGTATGTGAATATTCATAGAAACTTTATAAGAATCAAAACCTAAAAATAATTATTCATCTCTAGAAATATAGATACCCCTTCCCCCCAAAAGACACACACACACACACACACACACACACACACACACACACACACACACACACAGTGGAATACTGCTCAGCAATTAAACAGAATGACCAACTGATAAATTCAACAAACCTGCCAGGTGAAACAATATGCATCCTTCACAATTCCATTAATATGAACACAGTCATACTAACATGTAATATGGAAAGCAGATCAGTGTTTTCCAATAGATAGAACAAAGAGAGGTAACTGACTTAATGTCCTTCATTTTGTAGAAAGATTAACATGTTCTATATCACTTTTTCCATTGTTCCATAAACAGTTTACACTAGCCACAACGATGCAAAATTGGATAATTTTATTGTTTGTAAATTATACTTTGCTAGTGATGTAAAATAATTGATGATAAACCTAAATATAAAAGTTTGATTTTTATATCATATTTGATAAATCATCCTGGTCTTGCAAAAAGAAAGTTTTCTTAAATATCAGAAATAGAGACAAACATGCCATGCACTTTAGGTAAAAGGAAAAAGCAATTGTTAAATTGAATCTCATGAAAAATGTATATTTTTAGTTTTCAAAAAGCTCACTTAGGAAAATAAAAATATAAATTATCAGCTGAAAGAAAATGGTTGATATGCGTGTATCTTTCAAGAAATATTATACCTTAGATAAAAATCTTATTTAAAAATAGAGAAATAATGCAACAGATGTTCCACAAAAGATAATATACTAAAAGCTAAAAAAGTTAAATTGCTCAATAATTTTAGTTATTTAAATAAATGGAAACTAAAGTATAATGGGGTGCCGTTAAATGCCCTCTAGAGTGGCTTACGTAGGAAAGATTGGCAATATCAAATGTTGATGAGAAGATCAAACTCAAAAATAATGCTGAGTTTAAAATGATAAAACCATTTTGAGAAACCATTCGCAGTTTCTTATTAATTTAAACATGTAACTTCCATATGACCTAGATATTTAACATGCTAGGTATTTACCATGGAGAACTGAAGACCTATGTCTATACACAAATACTTTACTTAAATAGTCTGGTAACTTATAACCACCATTCTGAAAGCAACCTACATGTTCTTTTTTATTATGGGTGTTTTGTATATAACTATGTTTTTAATAATAGACTGTGAGTAGGTGTGTTACCTCTTTTATACTATTGTGGTTAAGGAGCCACTCACTGTCCATTGTCCACCATTTCTTTCTTCTTTCACTCCTTCTTGAAAGCTCCAAATTATAGCTCCAAGACAGGAGAAGACTGAATTCCTATATCACCTTATATAGAGCTGCACTGAATTGTGGTGTGGGTAAGAAATGCATTCATTTTTATTATATATATATATATATATATATATATATATATATATATATATATATTTTTTTTTTTTTTTTTTTTTTTTTTTTTTGAGACAGAGTCTAGCTGTGTCACCAGGCTGGAGAGCAGTGGTGAGATCTCGGCTCACTGCAACCTCCGCCTCCCGGATACAAGTGATTTTCCTGCCTCAGCATCCTGAGTAGCTGGGAGTACAGGCGTGCGCCACCACGCCCAGCTAATTTTTGTATTTTTAGTAGAGATGGGGTTTCACCATGTTGGCCAGGATGGTCTCTATATCTTGACCTCGTGATCCACCTGCCTCGGCCTCCCAAGGTGCTGGGATTACAGGTGTGAGCCACTGCGCCCAGCCTTGAGATGGAATTTTTATCTGTTAGAGCTTCTATTGTTACCTTAACCGACATTGATAATTGTTTTCGTTTGTAATTCAGCTGACATTTATAAACACAACAAACCCAGGAAATGTTGCCTAATGCAGAACAAATTTCCCAGATTATTTGCCAAAAGTATACCATGTATACTTTGTTATCCAAAGACATACATTTTATTCCTAAATTAAGTATTGTTAATTATTGTTCTTAGTCTGCTTTATTTCTCACAAATTCTGAGTTAGTAGAAAGCGCTTATTTTCCCCATTATCCAAGCAATGATTTTCACAATTAGACATCAGGCAACATGTGACAATTATCACTGAATAAAAAGAAAGAAATCAAGTAAGCCATATGATTGCTCCAACTTACTTCCTTGGGAGAGTAAAGGTGGGAATACCCAAGTGGAGCCTGGAAAACTCATAAAGTTAACAAGAGGGATTTGAGAGTTTATAAAGGATAAATTGGCTAGAATTTGTAGAGTATTGGGAGAAGAGATCTTCATAGAGAGATCCAGAAATCTCCAGATTTGAGTCTTTATCTGTGTATTCATCAGTACAAATGTATAAGAAAACTGCCCAAGTCTAAAGAAAAAGAATCCCACTAGAGCTTAGGGAACAATTCTTTTTTTCTTTTTTTTGGATTTTTTTATTTTTATTTATTTTATTTTATTATTATTATACTTCAAGTTTTAGGGTACATGTGCACAATGTGCAGGTTAGTTACATATGATACATGTGCCATGCTGGTGTGCTACATCCATTAACTCGTCATTTAGCATTAGGTATATCTCCTAAAGCTATCCCTCCCCCCTCCCCCCACCCCACAACAGTCCCCAGAGTGTGATGCTCCCCTTCCTGTGTCCATGTGTTCTCATTGTTCAGTTCCCACCTATGAGTGAGAACATGAGGTGTTCGGTTTTTTGTTCTTGCGATAGTTTACTGAGAATACTGATTTCCAATTTCATCCATGTCCCTACAAAGGACATGAACTCATCATTTTTTATGGCTGCATAGTATTCCATGGTATATATGTGCCACATTTTCTTAATCCAGTCTATCATTGTTGGACATTTGGGTTGGTTCCAAGTCTTTGCTATTGTGAATAGAGCCTCAATAAACATACGTGTGCATGTGTCTTTATAGCAGCATGATTTATAGTCCTTTGGGTATCTACCCAGTAATGGGATGGCTAGGTCAAATGGTATTTCTAGTTCTAGATCCCTGAGGAATCACCACACTGACTTCCACAATGGTTGAACTAGTTTACAGTCCTACCAACAGTATAAAAGTGTTCCTATTTCTCCACATCCTCTCCAGCATCTGTTGTTTCTTGACTTTTTAATGACTGCCATTCTAACTGGTGTGAGATGGTATCTCATTGCGGTTTTGATTTGCATTTCTCTGATGGCCAGTGATGGTGAGCATTTTTTCATTTGTTTTTTGGCTGCATAAATGTCTTCTTTTGAGAAGTGTCTGTTCATGTCCTTCGCCCACTTTTTGATGGGGTTGTTTGTTTTTTTCTTGTAAATTTGTTTGAGTTCATTGCAGATTCTGGATATTAGCCCTTTATCAGATGAGTAGGTTGCGAAAATTTTCTCCCATTTTGTAGGTTGCCTGTTCACTCTGATGGTAGTTTCTTTTGCTGTGCAGAAGCTCTTTAGTTTAATTAGATCCCATTTGTCAATTTTGGCTTTTGTTGCCATTGCTTTTGGTGTTTTAGACATGAAGTCCTTGCCCATGCCTATGTCCTGAATGGTAATGCCTAGGTTTTCTTCTAGGGTTTTTATGGTTTTAGGTCTAACATTTAAGTCTTTAATCCATCTTGAATTAATTTTTGTATAAGGTGTAAGGAAGGGATTCAGTTTCAGCTTTCTACATATGGCTCTCCAGTTTTCCCAGCACCATTTATTAAATAGGGAATCCTTTCCCCATTGCTTGTTTTTCTCAGGTTTGTCAAAGATCAGATAGTTATAGATATGCGGCCTTATTTCTGAGGGATCTGTTCTGTTTCATTGATCTATATCTCTGTTTTTGTACAAGTACCATGCTGTTTTGGTTACTATAGCCTTGTAGTATACTTTGAAGTCAGGTAGTGTGATGCCTCCAGCTTTGTTCTTTTGGCTTAGGATTGACTTGGCGATGCGGGCTCTTTTTTGGTTCCATATGAACTTTAAAGTAGTTTTTTCCAATTCTGTGAAGAACGTCATTGGTAGCTTGATGGGGATGGCATTGAATCTATAAATTACCTTGGGCAGTATGGCCATTTTCACGATATTGATTCTTCCTACCCATGAGCATGGAATGTTCTTCCATTTGTTTGTATCCTCTTTTATTTCCTTGAGCAGTGGTTTGTAGTTCTCCTTGAAGAGGTCCTTCACATCCCTTGTAAGTTGGATTCCTAAGTATTTTATTCTCTTTGAAGCAATTGTGAATGGGAGTTCACTCATGATTTGGCTCTCTGTTTGTCTGTTATTGGTGTATAAGAATGCTTGTGATTTTTGTACATTGATTTTGTATCCTGAGACTTTGCTGAAGTTGCTTATCAGCTTAAGGAGGTTTTGGGCTGAGACAGTGGGGTTTTCTAGATACACAATCATGTCATCTGCAAACAGGGACAATTTGACTTCCTCTTTTCCTAATTGAATACCCTTTATTTCCTTCTCCTGCCTAATTGCCCTGGCCAGAACTTCCAACACTATGTTGAATAGGAGTGGTGAGAGAGGGCATCCCTGTCTTGTGCCAGTTTTCAAAGGGAATGCTTCCAGTTTTTGCCCATTCAGTATGATATTGGCTGTGGGTCTGTCATAGATAGCTCTTATTATTTTGAGATATGTCCCATCAGTACCTAATTTACTGAGAATTTTTAGCATGAAGGGTTGTTGAATTTTGTCAAAGGCCTTTTCTGCATCTATTGAGATAATCATGTGGTGTTTGTCTTTGGTTCTGTTTATATACTGGATTACGTTTATTGATTTGCGTATATTGAACCAGCCTTGCATCCCAGGGATGAAGCCCACTTGATCATGGTAGATAAGCTTTTTGATGTGCTGCTGGATTCGGTTTGCCAGTATTTTATTGAGGATTTTTGCATCAATGTTCATCAAGGATATTAGTCTACAATTGTCTTTTTTGGTTGTGTCTCTGCCCGGCTTCGGTATCAGGATGATGCTGGCCTCATAAAATGAGTTAGGGAGGATTCCCTCTTTTTCTATTGATTGGAATAGTTTCAGAAGGAATCGTACCAGTTCCTCCTTGTATCTCTGGTAGAATTCGGCTGTGAATCCATCTGGTCCTGGACTCTTTTTGGTTGGTAAGCTATTGATTATTGCCACAATTTCAGAGCCTGTTATTGGCCTATTCAGAGATTCAACTTCTTCCTGGTTTAGTCTTGGGAGGGTGTATGTGTCGAGGAATTTATCCATTTCTTCTAGATTTTCTAGTTTATTTGCGTAGAGGTGTTTGTAGTATTCTCTGATGGTAGTTTGTATTCCTGTGGGATCAGTGGTGATATCCCCTTTATCATTTTGTATTGCGTCTATTTGATTCTTCTCTCTTTTCTTCTTTATTAATCTTGCTAGCGGTCTATCAATTTCAAAAAACCAGCTCCTGGATTCATTAATTTTTTGGAGGGTTTTTTGTGTCTCTATTTCCTTCAGTTTTGTTCTGATTTTAGTTATTTCTTGCCTTCTGCTAGCTTTTGAATGTGTTTGCTCTTGCTTTTCTAGTTCTTTTAATTGTGATGTTAGGGTGTCAATTTTGGATCTTTCCTGGTTTCTCTTGTGGGCATTTAGTGCTATAAATTTCCCTCTACACACTGCTTTGAATGTGTCCCAGAGATTCTGGTATGTTGTGTCTTTGTTCTCGTTGGTACAATTCTTATCAGACAAAAAGCAAAACATATTATCTGAGATTAAAAGGGAAATTCCATACTGATAAAAGGGTCAATTTTAATGATTACGTAACAATTCTAAATGTTTATACACCGAATTAAAGAGATTCACAATACATGAACAAAAACTGATAATACTGGAAGGAGAAATTGAGAAATCCACAACTTTAGTCGGAGGTTTCATTACTCCTTTCCATCACCAAGCACACTGATTTTTTAAAAGCATTTAATGGCCTAAGGAAATGAATATCACCTGTTAGTAAAAGTACACACGTCAACATAATCTCTATAAGACCTAATAATGGGCCAGGTAAGGTGGTTCATACATGTAATCCCAGCACTTTGAGAGGCCGAGGAAGGTAGATCACCTGTATCCTGGAGTTTGAAAGCAGCCTGGGCAACACAATGAGACCCCGTATATATAAAAAATATAAAAAATTATCTCGGTGTGGTGATGCACACCTGTAGTCCCAGCTACTCAGGAGTCTGATGTGGGAACGTCACTTGAGCCTGAGAGGTCAAGAATACAGTGAACCTTGATTACACTACCACACTCCAGCCTCAGCAATGGATCAAGACACTGTCTCAAAAACAAAATCAAACAAAAAAACACCAAAAATCTATTAAAGGTATTATAAAATTCATCTATATTTGTATTTTTTCCTTTGAAATTTGGTAAATGTATATTAAAATATAGATGTATAATTGTAATCTATACTTAGCATATCCACCAAATGCATTCCAAATTATTAGTCTTTGTACTTAACCAATTGAAAAATAAGCACCAAGCCACATGAAGCTAACATAGCCCTTTTATTATTGAAAAAATAATAAAATAAAAGGGCTAAGGTGAGAGTAGGTCCTGGTGAGAAAGCCAAGTTAGTCTGCTAACAGAGCTGCCTAGAATAGCATGCCCGGCTAGGGCAGATGCCCGTCTACCAAAGTACAGACCTATTTATTCCTGGGAGAAGAGAGCCAAATGTGCATTTTCTGTGAATAGGTGGAATTTAAGAAGCATATGGACAGAGCCAGACCAAGTGTGCTTGTCCTTCTCTTCCCAAATTTACAAACCAAATAAGCCACAGAACCTTTCCTAAAATGGATTTAAGAAAAGGTGCAGACAGAGGCCAAGAGTGTTGTACTAATAGGCTTCCTCAGTGTGAAAGAAAACAACAGGTCAGAAGTATTGCCTGTTTAAATAGAATTTTCAAAAATGTCTACATTAAAATACCACTCAAAGTTTAGGTACTTGTTTATTATTAAGATATTTTAAAAATACAATAATATTACTGAATTCAGCTGAATAATAATCAGGTTGCTATATTTGAGTTGTGTTTACACTAGAAAATATTCTCAAATATTTTCTGAACATATGTAATTCAAATAACGTGTTAGAAACATCATTTAAGAGATACAGGTGTTAATCACAGATGTTTTGTTTTCCTATAAAATATTCTAAAGAAGGCAGACACATTAAGTCAGAGAAATGTATTTCAAATAAATACCTACTGGGAGTTTTTCTTAACAGTCTTTCTGTAAATAGAACATGCTCTGGAAAATAATAGCTTTAGTATACTAATCAGTAAATTGTCTATGGCATTCTGACAAGATTTTGTCTGGAATGTAATGTGCATAATACTCCAGAAAGATCCCCCAGACACACAGGAAATATAGCAAACCAAATTCTCTTTTAACTAAATGTGTTGGCAAATGCTGGAGCATCAATAAGTAACCTCTCTTGAAACCTGAGGTGACTCTTCAGAAAATGAAAGGGAGACAAGAGGGAGACCTTTGTCAAGATAAAAGCATCTTAGCATGAACATACTATGAAAAATTGAACTAAAGACAAAACACGGATTTAGAAGATTAACATTGCATCGACAAGAATTTCCTTTTGCATACTATCGGTTATCAGCATTTGGCCTCTCATTAGCTTCTCTGCTTTTCACAATAGAGCAGTGGCTGTTCTTTGAAACATTCAACCCGCCAAAATATCCAATGCTTTATATTTTCCCTGTGTTTCATCAGGGAAATTTTCAAACATGATATTTAACTATGTCAAGGGTCAAACTAAGCAGACAAAAACTGATGTCTGTTTTGTATAAAATAATTGGAATAGAAAAAGATAGAGATGGAAATGAACCAAGTGTTCAAAACCGATAAGAATAAATGGGAAACACAATAAAAATCATGGAGAACAAAGAAGGTAAATGAGCTTTTTACATATGTGAGTCATAAAAAAGATTGCCTTAGAATTACTTAAGGGTAAAGTTGAGCAGGTTATAGCATGTCAAACCTGATATACAGGAAACTTAATCATGGACTTCATTATTTAAGTGGGAAAAATAGAGAATCTTACAATTAACTGTTCTTTTGTCATAAGGTTATAGTGTGTGTATATGTACATATACATTCATCTTAGCACAGCTAAATTCTTTTCTACAGTATCCTTGGATAATTACATTTGATGAATCCTTGATATTACTTGGCAGAACAGAAATTCTTAATATTTCCTGATAATTTTAATAAAATACTAGATTTTTATATTCACTGCCATACTAAAGGTTTTGTTAATGTAATTCCTTTCAAAATATCTCTAAAAATCTGTTAAAAAGTAAAATATGGCCTTCTTTAAAATATATTAATGTATAAACTTTATTTCCCTCAAGAGATCAACTGCAATTAGATAACATAGTTGTATCCAGTGTCACCCTTGACAGCACAGTGTAGGCTGAGCAACAAATGTTCAGTCATTTATTTAGCCTTTGCAGATAACTTTAGGCATAATGTTATATTTTGGAGCCATATAAAAAGTGGCTGATTTAACATTTATTTGATTTGATTGCTTATAATTCAGGCATTATGAGATCTTGGAAAACAGCATTAGTTTAGATGGTAATAAGGGCCACCTACCAAAGCTTTGATTATAGCTTGAAGTAGCCATCTCCATGCTGTAGTTAGGTTCTGGGCAGAGGAAACATGAATAGATCCACAATGCTTATATTCTCAGACCTCTAGAGATGTACAATAAATATAACTTTTATTGACTTGAACATAAAATCAGTTTTCCAATTTGGCCTTTATACTTTGCTTAATCATTGGAACAAAATGTTCTATATCAAAAATTAATAACATTTAATACTTGTTATAGACTGAATTGTGTCTCCCCCTCCTCAAATTTTTATTTTGAACCCCTAACCCTCATTTTGACTGCATTTGGTGATAGGGTCTTTGAATAAGTGATTAAGGTTAAATGAGGTCAGAAGGGTTAGACCATAATCCAATATGGTCAGTGTCCTTATAAAGGGGAAGAGGTGCCAGGGATGTGAATGCACACAGAAAAGGCCATGTGAGGACATGAAAAGAAGAGGGTGATATCCCTTTATCATTTTTAATTGTGTCTATTTGATTCTTCTCGCTTTTATTCTTTATTAGTCTGGCTAGCGGTCTATTTTGTAAATCTTTTCAAAAAACCAGCTCCTGGATTCATTGATTTTTCGAACGGTTTTTCGTATTTCCATCTCCTTCAGTTCTGCTCTGATCTTAGTTATTTTTTATCTTCTGCTAGCTTTTGAATTTGTTTGCTCTTGCTTCTCTAATTCTTTTCATTGTGATGTTAGGGTGTCAATTTTAGATCTTTCCTGCTTTCTCCTGTGGAAATTTAGTGCTATAAATTTCCCTCTAAACACTGCCTTAGCTGTTTCCCAGAGATTCTGGTACGTTGTGTCTTTGTTCTCACTGGTTTCAAAGAATTTATTTATTTGTGCCCTAATTTCTTTATTTACCCAGTAGTCATTCAGAAGCAGATTGTTCAGTTTCCATGTAGTTGTGCAGTTTTGAGTGATCTTAATCTTGAGATCTAATTTGATTGCACTATGGCCTGAGAGACTGCTTGTTGTAATTTCCATTCTTTTGCATGTTCTGAGGAGTGTTTTACTTCCAATTATGTGGTCAATTATAGCATAAGTGTGATGTGGTGCTGAGAAGAATATATATTCTGTTGATTTGGGGTAGAGAGTTCTGTAGATGTCTATTAGGTCTGCTTGGTCCAGAGCTGAGTTCAAGCCCTGAATATCCTTGTTAATTTTCTGTCTCATTGATCTAATATTGACAGTGGGGTGTTAAAGTCTCCCACTATTATTGTGTGGGAGTCTAAGTCTATTTGTAGGTCTCTAAGAACTTGCTTTATAAATCTGGGTGCTCCTGTATTGGGCGCATATATATTTATGATAGTAGGCTCATCTTGTTGCATTGATTCCTTTACCATCATGTAATGCCCTTCTTTGTCTTTTTTGATCTTTGCTGGTTTAAAGTCTGTTTTATTAGAGACTATGATTGCAACCCCTGCTTTTTTTTTTTTTCTTTCCATTTGCTTGGCCAATATTTCTCCATCCCTTTATTTTGAGCCAATGTGTGTCTTTGCACATTAGATGGGTCTTCTGAACACAGCACACTGGTGGGAGTTGCCTCTTTATCCAATTTGCCAGTCTGTGTCTTTTAATTGGGGCATTTAGCCCGTTTATATTTCAGGTTATTATTGTTATGTGTGAATGTGATCCTGTCATTATGATGCTAGTTGGTTATTTTGCATTAGTTGATTCAGTTTCTTCATACTGTTGATGGTCTTTAAAATTTGGTATGTTTTTGTGGCTGGTACCAGTTTTTCTTTCCATATTTAGTGCTTCCTTCAGAATCAGAAAAAAAAAAAACTATTTTAAATTTCATATGGAACCAAAAAAGAGCCCGTATAGCCAAGACAATCCTAAGCACTAAGAACAAAGCTGGAGGCGTCACGCTACCTGACTTCAAACTATACTACAAGGCTACAGTAACCAAAACAGCAACGTACTGGTACCAAAACAAATATATAGGCCAATGGAAGAGAACAGAGGACTCAGAAATAACACTACACATCTACAACAATCTGATTTTTGACAAACCTGACAAAAACAAGCAATGGGGAAAGGAGTCCCTACTTAATAAATGGTGTTGGGAAAACTGGCTAGCCATATGCAGAAAACTGAAACTGGACCCCTTCCTTATACAAAAATTAACTCTAGATGGATGAAAAACTTAAACGTAAGACCTAAAACTATAAAAACCCCAGAAGAAAACCTAGTCAATACCATTCAGGACATAGGCATGGGCAAAGACTTCATGACTAAAACACCAAAAGCAATGGCAAGAAAAGCCAAAATTGACAAATGGAATCTGATTAAACTACAGAGCTTCTGCACAGTAAAAAAAAACTATGATCAGAGTGAACAGGCAACCTACAGAAAGGGAGAAAATTTTTGCCATCTATCCATCTGACAAAGGGCTAATATCCAGAATCTACAAGGAACTTAAATTTACAAGAAAAGAACAAACAAACCCATCAAAAAGTGGGTGAAGGATATAAACAGATTCTTCTCAAAAGAAGACATAAACATACATAAAAAAATGCTTATCATCACTGGTCATTAGATAAATGCAAATCAAAACCACAATGAGATACCATCTTACATCAGTTAGAATGGCTATCATTAAAAGTCAGGGCTGGATGCGGTGGCTCACATCTATAATCGCAGCACTTCAGGAGGCCGAGGTGGGTGAACCATGAGGTCAGGAGTTTGAGGACCAGCCTGACCAACATGGTGAAACCCCATCTCTACTAAAATATACAAAAATTAGCCAGACATGGTGGTGTGTGCCTGTAATCCCAGTTACTCAGGAGGTTGAGGCAGGAGAACTGCTTGAACCTGGAGGTGGAGGTTGCAGTGAGCTGAGATTGTGCCAGTCTACTCCACTCTAGCCTGGGGGACAGAGTGAGACTCCATCTCAAAAAAAAAAAATGTCAGGAAACAACAGATGCTGGAGAGGATGTGGAGAAATAGGAACGCTTTTACACTGTTGGTGGGAGTGTAAATAAGTTCAACCATTGTGGAAGTCAGTGTGGCAATTCCTCAAGGATCTAGAACCAGAAATACCATTTGACCTAGCAATCCCATTCCTGGGTATATACCAAAGGATTATAAATCATTCTACTATAAAGACGCATGCACATATATGTTTACTGCAGCACTATTCACAATAGCAAAGACTTGGAACCAACCCAAATGCCCATCAATGATAGACTGGATAAAGAAAATGTGGTACATATACATTATGGAATACTATGCAGCCATAAAAAAGGAGGAGTTCATGTCCTTTGAAGGGACGTGGATGAAGTGGGAAACCATCATTCAAAGCAAACTAATATGGGAACAGAAAACCAAACACCACATGTTCTCAGTCATAAGTAGGAGTTGAACAAAGAGAACACATGGACACAAGGAAGGGAACATCACTCACTGTGGCCTGTCGGGGGGTGGGGGGCAAGGGGAGGGATAGCATTAGGAGAAATACCTAATATAGGTAATGGCTTGATGTGTGCAGCAAACCACCATGGCACGTGTATATCTATGTAACAAACCTGCATGTTCTGCACGTGTATCCCAGAACATAAAGTATAATTTAAAAAAAAAATAAGAAGAGTGTGGTCTGTAAGGCAAGAAGAGAGTTCTCAGGAGAAACCAAACCTTCTGATAACTTAGTCTTGGACTTACAGCCTCCAGAACTGTGAGAAAATAACTTCCTGTTGTTTAAGCTACACAATATACAACATCTTGTTAAGGCAGCTCTGGCAAGCAAGTATAAGTCTACCTATAGGAGCATTTACCTGTATTAGTTTGTTAACATTCACAACATTATATCAATGGATCTAGTCAAATTAAGCATCCCCGTTCTAAAGAAGAAGAAAACAAGACAGAAAAATCAAGTAAATCTTTCTAGTTCACACAGCTAGTAAATGAAATCACTAGTATTTAAATGTAGATGATTGGATTTCATAACCTTTGAGTTTAACCATTTGACTGTGGCTGCTCTTTGGATTTTATTTATGTATGTTTCTATTAATCTAATATCCATCCATTCCTCCATTCATTCATTAATATACCTATTCACTTACCTTTCTACCTGAATATTCAAAATATTTCTGTTTCTTTTTGAAATTTTTGATATATTGAAATTGCGTATTATGTATAAATAGGTAGAGTTCAATAATGCATTTATTTGGGAAAGGACTATTACATAAATTTTTATTTTTAAAAATTGATTTTTTTGTTATTAAGTTTGCAAGATTCTATTTTTGGATATTAGCTCCCTGTCAGATATATGGTTCTAAAATATTTTCTCCCAGTCTACAGGCTATCTTTTCATTTTGTGAATTTCTCCTTTGCTGTGCAGAATGTTTTTTAATTTGATGTAGTCCCACTTGTTTATTTTTGCTTTTGTTGCCTGAGCTTTTTGTGTGATATTCAAAAAATTATATCCAAGGCCAACATCAAGGAGGTTTATCCCTAGGTTTTCTTCTAGCAGTTTTTTTTTTCACAGTTTTGGGTCTTACTTTTAGGTCTTTAATCCATTTTGAGTTTATTTTTGTGTACGGTAGAGACGGGTCCAATTTTCTTCTTTTGCACATGGATATCCAGTTTTCTCAACACCATTTATTTAACAGGCTGTTGCTTCTCTATTGTGTCCTCTTGGTGTACTTGTCGAAAATTCGTTTACTGTATATGCTTGGGTTTATTTCTGGGTTTTTTATTCTGTTCCTATGGTCTCTGTGTGTGTTTTTATGCCATTTCCATACTGTAGCTTTGTGATATAATTTGAAATCAGGAAGTGTAATGCCTCCAACATTTTTTTCTGAGGATTGCTTTGGCTGCTCAAGATGTCCTATGGTTTTGTGTAATTGTAGAATTTTTTTTCTATTTTTATGAAAAATGCCATTAGTATTTTGATAAGGATTGTGTTGAATCTGTATATTACTTTGGGTACTATGGACATTTGAACAATGTTAATTCTTCCAATCTATGTACACAGGTTATCTTTCCATTTATTTGTATTTTATTCAAATTCTTTAATCAATGTTTTATAGTCAAATACTTCACCTCCTTGGTTAAACTTATATCTGAGTATGTAATTTTTTGATGCCATGTAAATAGGATTTTTTTTAATTCTTTTTCAGGTAGGCCATTATTGGCGTAAAAATGTGATTAATTTTTATGTTCATTACAAATCCTGAAATTAGCCCAGAAACAAATAACCCCATTAAAAACAAAACAAAACAAAACAAAACAAAAAAACGGACAAAAGACCTGAATAGATATTTCTTCAAAGAAGCCATAAACATGGCCAATGGGTAAATGTAAAGGTGGTCAACATCACTAATCACTAGGGAATATGCAAATCAAAACCACAATAGGTATCATTTCACATCTCTTAGGAAGCCTATTAGTAAAAAGACAGTAGATAACAAGTGTTGGCAAGGGTGTGGAGGAAAGGAAACTCTCTCATACAAAATTGGTAATGATATAAATAGGTGTAGCCATTATGGAAAACGATATGGAGGTTGTTCAAAAAATGAAAAATTATCTACAATAGACTTAAACAAATCAGTAAGAAAAACCAATCCCATCAAAAAATGGGCTAAGGACATGAATCGACAATTCTCAAAAGAAGACATACAAATGGCCAACAAACGAACAAAAAAATCAACGTAACTAATGATTAGGGAAAAGCAAATCAAAACTACAATGTGATACCACTTTACTCCTGCAAGAATGGCCACATTCAAAAATCAAAAAAACAGTAGATGTTGACATGAAGGCATTGATCAGGGAACACTTCTACACTGCTGGTGGGAAAGTAAACTAGTACAGTCACTATGGAAAACAGTGTGGAGATTCCTTAAAGAACTAAAAGTAGAACTACCATTTGATCTAGCAATCCCACTACTGGGTATCTACCCAGAGGAAAATAAGTCTTTGTGCAAAAAAGATACTTGCACACGCATGCTTATAGCAGCACAATTCACAATTGCAAAATCATGGAACCAACCCAATTGCCCATCAATCCATCAATCAATGAGTGGGGGTAAAGAAACTGTGATATATATATATATCTCACATACACATATCTCACATACATATATATATATCACATATATATAATCACGTACATATATGATGGAATACTACTCAGCCATAAAAAGGAATGCACTAATGGCATTTACAGCGAACTGGATGAGATTGGAGACTATTATTCCAGGTGAAATAACTCAGGAATGGAAAACCAAACAATGCATGTTCTAATTGATATGTGGGAGCTAAGCTACACGGATGCAAAGTCGTAAGAATGATACAATAGACTTTGGGGACTTGGGGGTAAGGGTGGGCGGGGGGAGAGGAATAAAAGACTACAAATATGGTGCCACGTATACTGCTTGGGTGATGGGTGCACCCAAATCTCACAAATCACCACTAAAGAACTTACTCATGTAACCAAATACCACCTGTACCCCAATAACCTATAAAAAATTTAAAATTAAAAAAATTAAAAAGAGAACTACCATAGGGCAATCCTCCTCCTGGGCATACAGCAAAAGAAATAGGATTAGCATCTCCTAGAGATACCTGCCCTTTCATGTTCATTGAGGCATTATTCAATATGGAATAATTGGAAGATATGGAAACTAAGTTTTCTGTTAATGAATGAATGGATAAAGAAATTGTGGCATATATATACATGTGTGTGTGTGTCTATATATAGTGGAATATTACTCAGCCTTAAAAAAGGAGCTGCTGACATTTCTGACAATATGGATGAACCAGGAAGATATTATAGCAGTGAAGTAAGCCAGACACAGAAAGGAAAATACTATATAATCTCACTTATATGGGGAATCAAAAATATAAAATTTGGATTCATAGAAACAGATGGTAGAATGGTGATTACTGGGGATTGCTAGGGGGAGAGGACAGGAAAGAGTCGGGAGATGTTGCCAAAGGGTATAAAGTTACAGTTATGTAGGGTGAATAAATTTAGAGATCTAATATACAACATGATGAGTATAGTTGATAATACTGTATTGTGTCCTGGAAATTTGCTAAGAGAGTAGATTATAGCTGCTCTCACCACAAAAATAAGGTAACTATGTGAGATACTACATGTAATTTGCTTTATTATAGTATCCATTTAACTGTATATAAATGTCAAAACATAATATTGTATATCTTAAATATATAATAAAATACATAAAGACATCTGTAAAAAATAAGATTCATGTATAAAAATAAATTGAAATGTTTTAACCTTACTTGCTGCTTTCACATGATGCATAATCACTGAGCTTTTGAAGCTTATTAATTGAAAATCCTTCCAAATTGGCATGAAACAAAGAATAGCAATTTTCTTCCCAGTGATTTGAAGGATGTGAAATGCTAAAAGATACAGGATTTACCTAATGAATGTTTACATAATTATTCTCAGTTACCACCCTTCTAGTTTTTAATTCTTGGTAAGTTATAAAGATTATTTGTGAGGCTTTCTTACTGGCCAATACTCCAAATATTCCATCATTCTTACACTTCTGTCATTCTGCATTGAAGTTTGATGAAAAATAGCGATCCAGAGAAGTTTGTACTTGTTCAATAACTGTCCATTGATTCATTAAAACATGATATCTTGTAATCATTTAAAAAATTGTCTCTTGAAAACAACCATTCTAAGATTCAGTCTATTTAGACTTCCAATATTTAGTTAAAATATTAGAATATCATTGATAAATTGTAAAACAGTTAAAAATATAAATGAAGTGTTATATAAAATATTTTAAATCTTTTGATTGTTCTGAGTATTGTAAATATAATTAAACCTGAACAAAATATTTGTAAATTTGGATTTAGTTATCTACATTAACAAGTCAGCTCTAAATCAGTCAACATGTAAACTATGTAGGTTCTACATGGTTTACATGTTGACTGTTTTAGAGTATTTTACACATATTCACACATGTCATGTGTAAAATAATTATAATTGACCTATTTAAACCTAAGTGAACCACAAAAAATTATTGAAATAGTAATAACTTTATTATTTTCTACCATAGAACCAAATGTTCACATTTTATTTTGATAGATCCTTTAGGATAATAAGATAATGTTATACATTGAAGTCAGCAAATGTAAGAAGTTATGCCTGAAAAATTTGGGGTATACACAAAGAGAATGCAAAAAAAAAAATTAACGATGTCAATAGATAGATGAGTCTTTTATTGAAGTCTTTATCCAATTTAAATATTCTGTGAAGCCTTGCTGTCTAAATATTGTGAGAAGGTAGCTAGAATTCTTTCAAATATAATAGAAATGGGGGGAATAAAATTAAGTCAAAGCTAATATTTTTTTCACATGTGGCCATACAGTAAGCCCGTTCAATTTGTAGTTAGTAATTTAGGTTTTGATACTGAAGCCTAAATAGTCAAAGTGATGACCTTAATCTGATGAATGAGTCCTGCAAAGTGTTTCTTTACCCTAGAATGTCATAGAGATGGAAACAAAGTTCAATTTCCAAAATTAGGAGCAACTTGAAAATCTAGAAAGCTTGGGGCCAGAAGAAATTTAATAAGGCTCGGTTACATGACAGCAACCAGAGAGCATAAATTCAAGAGCTTCTATTATTAAGACAACAAAGCAACAATCAGTAATACCCACAGGATCCCAGTGTAAGCCCAGGATATATGTTGATCCTCTGGGAACATATATACTTCTGTAATCCCATTTTCTCTAGCCCTTGCCAGTTGCTGCATTCTAATATGTTTATAATAAAAACAGTGCTGCAAAGGTCACCAGCTAATGTCCTTATGTGCATAATACTATACTTCAATTCACTGAGAAAAATCTCTTTTTCCTCAGCCTGCATTTTTGCATTACATATACTTGTCAGGATGTCCATCTTCTTTTTTGCACACACTTCCTCACATTTAGTGTTTGCTACTGATAAAATTTCATAAACGCATTACTTCCCAACTGACTCTGTTGCTGCTGCTTTTTCTTAGTGTTTTCATCCCTGTACAAGCTCTGCATCTAAGCTGGTACCGAAATTCTTCTTTATCCCCCGCGTGTCTCTCAATTTTTCACCACTTACTTCCCATTTCTTCAAATTTAAGAGTAATACTTTGTTCTCTCTTCACTTTTCATTCTCCAGCATGTAATCGGTTAAATGAGTAACTTCTATTATTTTTTAATTTGGACATCTCAGACATCCAGAAATTTGCAGAAATAGTACCCCAAATTTCTATATATTCCTTACTTACATTCTTCCCTCCACCCTCTTTCATTCTCTCCCATCTCCTGTCCCTCTTGCTATCTCTCTCTTCTCTCTCTTTCTCTCATTTGAATTTCTGATATTATGCCTTCTTTCTCTGTAATACTCTATTGAGTGTAACACACTTAACCTGTGGTATTATTATCTAATCTAAAGGCATTTTTCAAGTTTTGGCAATTGTCCCAATAACGCAATTTATAGAAAAAAGAAAATTTTGGGTCATGCATTACATTCAGTTTTTATGTCTCTTTGGCCTCTTTACTTTGGGATATTACCTTTTGCTTTGAGAGAAAAGGTCAAGGACTGTGCATAAAATGCACCTCAATTTGAGTTATCTGATGTTTTCAGATTCAGATTGTGAATATTTTATCAGGAACACCACAGAAGTGATGTGTTATTTTCAATGCCTCATGTCAGTTAGCATCATATATCAAGATATCTCATTACTGTTTATACTGTTTATGTTAACGTGTTTTTTTTTTTTTTTTTTGACAGAGTCTTGCTCTGTCGCCCAGGCTGGAGTGCAGTGGCGCGATGTTGGCTCACTGCAATCTCTGTCTCACGGGTTCAAGTCATTCTCCTGCCTCAGCCTCCCGAGTAGCTGGGACTACAGGCGCCCGCCACCATGCCCAGCTAATTTTTGTATTTTTAGTAGAGATGAGGTTTCACCGTATTGGCCAGAATGGGATGGTCTCAATCTCCTGACCTCCTGATCCGCCCGCCTCGGACTCCCAAAGTGCTGGGATTACAGACCTGAGCCACTGCGCCCAGCCAACATGATCACTTTTTAAAATTGCTTCTGTCTGGGTTTTCCGATGTCTCGTGAGAAGTTACATTGAGATAATGTAATACTTTTGAATCTTCAAAATTTCACTCACTACTTTTAGTATGCACTATCAGTTTTGCTTGCATTAATTTTGATACTGATAGTTGCCAAATGGTTTTTTCTATATTTATTATTTGGCCCTCTACTATAAGAAAGGGCTTTACACATCCACACACATACAAACACACACGCACACACTCACAGGCACACAAAAAATATATTTGAATATATAATGTATATATTATGTGAAATATATTCAAAACATAATTTATTCAAAATGGTATAATAGGTTAATTAATTCAAGAGGTTATAGTACTTTATTACCCATATTTAATTTGAGGGTGAATTGCACCATATTTGCTATTGAGCTCCTTCATGTTGGTTTCTATGTCCTTATTGTGTCTCATTTCCTTTTAGTATTTAATATGTTTTTACATTCAGAAACAACAACATTTTCTAGGTTCTACTTGTAATTTTCCTGCCCAGCCTGAAATCAGGCATTTCTCAAAGACTCCTAAGTCCTAGAGAGATCATATTTAGAAAACCTGATCTGGCTCTAGGTATGTGATTGCTATTTGAATGTCATTGCTTCTATGAACCCTCAGAAGACACAACCACGAATTAAGATCTCCTGGACTGTTTTGTTTTGTTTTAACTTTTATTTTAGGTTTGGGAGTACATATGAGGGTTTTTTTTTTTACATAAGTAAACAGATGTCACGAGAATTTGTTGTACATATTATTTCATCACCCAGGTATTAAGCCCACCACCCAATAGTTATATTTTCTGCTCCTCCCCCTCCTCCCACCCTTCACCCTCAAGTAGACCCCAATGTCTGCTGTTTCCTTCTTTGTTTTCATAAATTCTTATCATTTAGCTCCCACTTATAAATGAGAACATGTGGTATTTGTTTTTTTTCTTCCTGTGTTAGTTTGTTAAAGATAATAGCCTCCAGCTCCATCTATATCCCTGCAAAAGACATTACCTCATTTTTTAATGGCTGCATGGTATTCCACAGTGTATACATATCACATTCTCTTTGTCTAACCTGTCATTGATGGGCATTACAAATCAATGACATAATTGGACTTTTTTAAATTCTTCAATTATAAATTGGATATTCCTTATGATGTTTCCATTTTTACCACTTTCTCTAGAGAACTTTTACATTTTTCATTTCAATTTTTGTAAATATTTCTGCTTTTCTTGAAAGTTCTTTTATAAATTATCATTTCAATCTTTTCTTCCTTGAACACCTCACCTTCATTCCTGATGTACATTAGATAGAGCAGGGCCTGAATACTCAGGTATATTTCCAAAGGCTTAGAACATGAGTTCTTCAAGAATGATGGCTCATGCCTGAAATTCCAGCACTTTGGGAGGCCGAGGCGGGCGGATCACGGGGCCAGGAGATCAAGACCATCCTGGCTAACATGGGGAAACCCCATCTCTACTAAAAATACAAAAAATTAGCTGGGCTTGGTGGCGGGCACCTGTAGTCCCAGCTACTCGGGAGGCTGAGGCAAGAGAATGGTGTGAACCCGGGAGGCGGAGCTTGCAGTGAGCTGAGATAGCGCCACTGCACTCCAGCCTGGGCGACAGAGCCAGACTCCTTCTCAAAAAAAAAAAAAAAAGGAATGATGAAGGATGGATTCTATAAACCCAGGTGTTGTCACACACAGTTAAGTATTTAGTCTACTTAAAGAAAAACATTTAAAAACTTAGCCACTCTTATAGATTGAATAATAGAAATATAAAGTCCCAAACCCCCTGTGAATGTGGCTTTTCTTATTTGGAAATAAGGTGTTTGCAGATGATCGAGTTAAAATGAGTTCATTATAGTGGATCCTAATCTAATGTAATTGTATCCTTATAAAAATGGTACATTTCAGCATAGAGACAGACACACATACACACCCTACTATGTGAAAATAAAGGCAGCAATCAAAATGGTATATTTTCATATACGTCCAGGAACAGGAAAGAGTGCCAGAAAACCACTAGAAGCTAGGGAACAAGTGTGGAGCAGATTCTGTCACACAGAACTCGGCCTCAACCCTGCTGGCTACCTAGATCTCAGACTTCTAGCTTCCAGCCTGAAACAATCATTTTCTGTTGTTTTAAGCACTCGGTTGTTGATACTTCATTATATATGCCAAGTAAATTAATGGACCCGCATAAGTAGGATGTTATCAGATTTCCACATTATATTCCACATTTATATAGGTCATAAATATTGTTAATATTTCTCTTTCTACTTAATTTGAGAGGGTGGGGAAAATGTGATATAATTCATTATGTACTTAATGATTCAGATATATAAAATATCCAACATCAATACCAGGCATTAGAGTCAAAACAAAGGGCATGATAAACTAAGATATTTAAAAGTAGGACATCATAGGAAAACAGAATATATTGTACTTAGGTAAAAATATCCATCTTAGAATTGAGCAATTTTTATTAAGTAAAGAAGAAATGTTTTAATGACATAATGTAAATGCTTATCTAACTAATGAGAAAAACTTGACAAGCAAAGGGTTTAGAGAGAAGTACAAAATTCCATTATTTTGAAGGTAAGTACTTCTAAATTTATTTTGAAATTGAATTTTGTTTAATTAAACAAAAGTACTCTCTTGGCTCTCTGAGTATACAGGTGGGAATCAATGCAAGTTGTTTATCGTTGGGTTCAACTTATAAAATTTTCATAGTGAGGTTGCCTCCATATTTTAAAAATAAACACTAAAATTAGAAATTGCTGTAGAGTACAAAAAGGAAATAAAATGCACTTTAATTCCTTAGAGAATTTTATTCCTATTATAGCATTTTTCTCATTTTAATAAAATATAACACCTTGCATAATTTAAATAAAAAGTTTTATGTTGAAAATAATGAATCTTAAATTCACATACTAAAAACTAACCTTTTAAAATTATCTGATATATCAAAAATCTTAAAGCACCAATACATTTGCTGAAAGACTACCAAATAACAGATTTTGAAAAAGATCTAATAAGTGTATTTGCTGAATTATCTCAACATGAATGTTAGTTATTTCACCCTGGTGAAAATAATGCTTAAAAGGTTCTAATAGTTTTATAAGAAAGTTAATCTAAAGTTATTAAGCCATTTTATGCCACTTTTATAGGAATATTATAGTAATGTATAAAGTGGCATATATAAATTATTTCTTAAACTGTCAAGTGGTATTTGAAAATAAGCCATATTATTATTTTAGTTAAACCAAATGACCTCATTAAAATGCTCTCTAAAATGTAATCTATGAACAAGTTTTTCTGACAGTTTCTGGGAACTAAATAATTTCTGGAGTATCAAATACAAGTGCTTCTCAACTTACAATACGGTTCCATCCCATCATAAGTTGAAAATATCGTAAGTCAAAAATGCATTTAATGCTGGCAACACAGCAGACAGTCCTAGACTTACAATGGTTTGACTTATAATTGACTGGCTTTAGGGTTATACAAAAGCAGTATGAATTTAGTAGAAACTGTGCCTCCATTTTTAGTCATAAGAAGCTCAGGGGCTTACAATGAGGGATACATCCCAATAAACCCATTGTCAAGTTAAAAACTGTAAGTTGAAACACGGTAATTTGAGGACCAGCTGTACACCATGTTCTTAGGCCTTGCTATGGTCTGAATGTCCCCTCCAAATATTATGTTGAAATTTTGTTGCACTTTTAACAAAATTAAGAGTTGGGACCATTAAGAGGTTGTTAGGCCATAAGCGCTCCACTGTCATAAACAGATGAATGCCATTATTATGGGGGTGGGTTTCTTTTTGTGGTAGTGAATTAGTTTTAAAAGGGCCAGTTTGGTCCTCACTCTTTCTATCTCTCTCTCTCTCACCCTTTCACCTTCTGCCACAAATGATGCAACAAGAAGGCCCTCAGCAGATACCAGCCACTTGATCTTGGATTTCTCATCCCCTGGAACCATTAGCCAATACATTTCTGTTCATTAAAAATGTCCCAGTCTCAGGTATTCTGTTATAGCAACACAAAACTGACTGAGACAGGAAATTTGTACTGAGAAGTAAGGCTGCTGCTGTAACAAATACCTGAAAATGTGAAAGCAACTTTGGAATTGAATGATAGGTAAAGGTTGGAAGAATTTGGAGTAGCAGGCCAGCAAAAGACTAGATTGCCAGAAACAAAATGATGAGGAGATTCTGGTGATGGCTCAGAAGAAGAAAGCTGTAGAGAAAGTCTCAAACTTCTTAGATATTACTTAAGTGGTCATGATTAGAATGTTGGTAGATATATGGACAGGAAGGGTCATTCTGATGAGGTCTCAGATGGAAAAGAGAAATAGCCTATTGGAAACTGGAGTAAAATCCATTTTTTTTTATGAAGTGGCAAAGAATTTGGCTAAATTGTGTTCATGTCTTAGGGTTTTATGAAAGACAGAATTTAAAAGCCATGAACTACTATGTCTGGCAAAAGAAAAATCTAAGCAACAACATATTCAGGGTGCAGCATGACTTCTTTTAGGACTTACAGTAAAATGCAAAAGAAATGTTAAAGATAAAATTTATAATTAAAAGGGAAGCGGAAAGGAAAGATTTAGAAATTTCTTAGCCTGACCATGTAAAGAATGAAAAAGTATGTTTGGGAGAAAAGACTAAGGGTGTAGCCAAGTGACCAGTTGCTAGAGTATAGTATGAATAATATGAAGACATATTGAATTCATCAAGGCAATGGAGAATGACCTGAAAGGCATTTCAGAGATCTTCAGGGTAAGCTAAGGCCTTTAGGGTAAGGTTTCTGACAGGTGCTTGTGGAATCTCAGCCTTCACTGCTACACCACTTCTCTGCTCCCTGCCTTCTGGCACAGTACTCCTCTGCCGCTCCAACCTTGGCTTGAACCAGCCCAGGTGCTGCTCAGGCTGCCACTCTAGCAAGTATAATTTATAAATCTTAGAGACATCCACATGGTGATAATTCTGCAGACTTACAGAATGCAAGAGCTATGGAGGCATGGCTTTCTCTACCTAGATTTAAAGGATGTTGTGGACAGCATTGGGGCCCAGCAGAGACTTACTGGAGGGGTGGAGGTGCTACAGAGACTATACTAGGGTAATGCCTAGTGGAGCTATGGAAGCAGGCCTGCCTCCGAGTTCTCACAACTGTGGAGCTACCAGTGTGCAATTCCAGCTTCGGAGAACTCCTACCCAGGACAGCTAGGCTCTGCAAAGGGATGGGGCCGCCTGAAGGCTTGGGGGCCCAACCAAGCCAGAGAATGGGGCTTCTTGAAGACTTGGGAACCCCCACCCCTGCCCCAGCACCTGGAAGGTGGAACATTAAGTCTAGGAAGATTATTCAGGAATTTTAATAGTTGCTGTTTTTTTCTCATGATCTGTTGCTTTTTTTTTTTTTTTTTGCCTGTTGCTCTTGTTGGAATGAGAATATCTATCCTGTGTCTTTGAAGTTATTAGCTTGTTTAATTTTACAGACCCATAGCTGAAGGGAGAGTTGCCTCAGGATGTACTGTGCTTTGACTTCATCCGTATCTAATTTAGATGATACTCTGGACTTTGAACGTTTGAGTTGATGCTAGAATGAAATAAGACTTCGGAGGCTATTGTGATGGAATTAAAATATATTGTATTTTAGAAGGACATGAGTTTTGGAGAAGCAGGACAAAATAATACAGTCTGCATGTCACCTCCAAACTTTATGTCAAAATTTAATTCCCATTGTAACAGTGTTAAGAGATGGGACTTTTAAGAGGTGATTAAGCATGAGAGCTCCATCCTCATAATGAATTAATGTTGTTATGACAGGAGTGGGTTCACTTTATAAAGGAGTGAATTCAGCCCTTGCTCTCTTTTGTCCTCTCTCATCCTCTACTGTAAGATAACTTAGCAGGAATGCCCTCTCGCTTGATGCCAGCATTTGATGTTAAACTGTCCAGCCTCCAGAACTATGAGAAAATGAGTATCTGTTCTTTATAAATTACCTAGTCTCAGGTATTCTGTTATAGCAGCACAAAACAGTTAAGACAGGCCTTATGCTTCCATGTTTTTTATTCTCTTACTCTCTAATAAGCTCCTCCTTTTTTTTAGCTACTTGTCAAGTATCTCTTATTTAATTGGTTTGCAGCTTAAGTTTTATTTTTTTAAACTTTTCTGATTTCCTCCACTCCTACATCCACAACCAGAGCAAAGTACTCAATATCCCGAGCTCCTGTTATATTTTGTTTATACCTTATTTGTAATATTTGTGTTGTAACCATCTGCAAACATGTCTTCTTCCATCATAAAGGTAATTTTAGGATAAGGAATTTTATCCAGATTGTTTTCATATTCTTAAAATGTATCATAGTGCTTGTTGCTTGAGAGTCTGTAGAAGGATGTTTACTGATAAAATAATAAAGTCATGTTTTTGTTACATATTAGCCAAAGGTCACAGATTGTTATATGTACATTACTCATCCCCACCAATAAACTATCAGTGTTATAATTCTTCATAGATCATTTGCATGTCTTGGGTTTCCCAGGACAGTCAGGGTTTATATTTATTGTTCTGGCATTCTGTTTGGCTGAGCTTTTCCCAGATTTATCATTTTTTAATACATAATATTATTAATGGTTATGTTAATATAAGTTAAGTAGTTTGACTTAAACTAGAAATACTCCTTTATATTTATGCATATTTGCATTTCTAGTTTAAGTCAAGGTCTCATTTAGTAGTACATGAGATACAGTGCAGTGAATATTTTCTTGGTTTAACCAGTTGTTACATCTGAAAGATGAGCAACAAAAATGGGTTTCTCCTTCTATCTTCTAGGAAAAGCAATCAACAACACTTCAATTTTAGGAACAACATGCTGATAAAATCAAGGGTGCTCCAGCAAAGACCAATTAAAAGAGTTAACTTTTTCTGGCATGTGGGGTTGGGAAGTTTTGGACGGTGTTGTTTCTGCTGGCAACTTGATTTACTACTCTGGTGCAGTCAGATTTACCATGATCTTTCATGGTCAGTGCTTGGTGCTTAGCTGAAAAAGATCTTTTATTTATATCTCCACAATTTCTGAGATTTATTCCAAATAGGCTCTAGACATGCACCTTTTAATGTGCTGTTTGGCTGGGGTCATGCCTTCCTCTGGAAGAATTCAGGGGCAAATTTCTATTGAGACCTCATAAACCAACCTTGAATAGTATGTGAAGGAAGAACACATATAAAGTAGAAGTAAAAATATCAACTATACGGAGACCCTGAAGTGTCCTTCATGTTCTATAGATATTTTCTTTTCCTTGTTTAGGTGTGCTTTCAAAATCGTTTTTAGTTTTTTTCACTGAGCTAGTTCTACAGGTCAAATTTTCAGAAGACTTCAATTCATGATCTAATACCACCCTTTTCTTATTAATCACATCTAACTTTTGGCTGTCCTCATTGCCTTCTGGGGTTCGCCAGGCATTTTTACTACTGTGGACATTTGGAAAAGAAAAGTATACTTTAATCATGCTCCCTGAAACTTTATAAATATAACACTTTGGCATATTACATCATTTACTACATTGAATGAATATTACTTATTAATAACTTATTAGAATATTAAATAGGGGTAATTAGGTGGAAAAGGAGAAATAAAAATACTAAATTTTTAGTTAATATATTATTTTCACCCAAGGGTGGCTGTTTAATACCTGAAAAAAAAATTGAGGATGCTTATTTTTTATATTGTCTTTGCTATTCTTGAGAAAAGCTTGATTGAGAATGATAAACTCAGGAGGATCCTCTACTCACCCCAAACTCAGTGCCAGACTTCATTTCAAGTTACAGAAAACCAGGGGGTTTACTAAGAAACAATGAGGAAATGCTGCTAGTTTTCTTCTCATAGTTTCCTTTTTATATCTTTTTTTTTGATCTATAGAGAAACATTTGTAGTCCTGCTGCCTGTAAAAGTGATGTTTGAATGTATTCTGCAAACTTGCAAAGCTAGTAACTCATAAAATATTCCTAAAGTTGGCAAGTTTCATAAGATGAAAGGTTCACACAGCTCTAACAAGTAACTAAAAAGGAGACTGGTATGGTAGGCACCGATACAGCAGTTTAAACCTCATGCTGCATACGGGGCTGCAGTTTGAATTCTTATTACCGACCAGGGAAGATAACACACCTACCACGTTTATCCTTCATTGGTGTGTTTAACAGTAATAGACCTTCCTGCAAAATAATTAAAAATATGAACAAAACACAGCTCTATCCTTTCCTCTTTATTTTTTCCTTAAAGGAAGATTTTTTTTCTATAAAGAGAATTTTCACATTTATATTTGGCTCTTTTTGCTCTAGCTTGAAAAACAGGTCTCTAGTTTCTGCCAGCACTTGTAACCAAGGAGAATGATTACAACATGCAGGTGTCACTGATTGGTTGGAATTGAAAGCTGCACAGATTCACTTGGAGTCCGGAACCCATCTCTCTATCTTCTAATCTCAGTTGTTTCTGTCAAATGCCAGTAGAGAACAATCACATCTGTTTTGACTGACAGCATAGCTGACAAGGAAGATCATTGTCATATCGTTAGTATTTAGGAAAAGCTGTGAATATATAGTCTTGTGTCGCTTAACAATAGGTATATGCAATCTGAGAAATGCTTTGTTAGGCAATTTTGTTGTTGTGCAAACATTATGGAGTGTACTTACACAAACCTAGATGGTACAGCCTACAATACACCTAAGCTTTAAGATATAGTCTATTGTTCCTAGGCTACAAGCCTGTAGGCAGCTGTAACACAATGGTAAGTATTGATGTATATAAACATATCTAACCATAGAAAAGGTGCAGTAAAAATACAGTGTAATAATCTTATGGGACCATTGTCGTATATGCAGTCCATCACTGACTGAAAAGCCCTTCTATGGTGCATAAGTATAGTATTTTACTTCTGTGGGTGTATATATATATATTTTTTAAACTAATTATAAGCACAATTTAGCAAATTAAATAGATCTACTGTTAAGAATTTGTCTTTATTCATAATTTCCCAAACTACTTTAAAGTAGTATCCTAAACAAGAAGAGGAAGTAAATGAATAAAATATCATATATAATGAATACACATTAAGATTTATGGCATAAGATTTTTAAAATACTTAAAAATAATTATAATCCTTATAGATAATATATAACAGCCTAACTAAATAGACTGTGTCTTCATATATTGAATATACAGAAGCTCTGTTAATATGTAATTACATAAGCAATCTAAAGTTTTCCATTTCATTTTGAAAATGTACCGGCTGGACTACCGTGGCTGGTAGCCATCTCTGTCTTCTACTCTACACCTTCTGGACTTCTCACTTCACCTAATGGAAACAAGGTTAGATATTGTAATTAAAGACTTAAGATGAGTTTTATGTGAAAAAGGTGGAATACAAATCAGCCAATAAAGTCTCAAAGTAAAGACGTTGTCTTTACATCATACAGTGTCTGTATACGTTTTGTTTTTACTTTTTTTTTTCTTTTCATGCATTCATGTACTTTTTTTTTAATTATTATTATACTTTAAGTTTTAGGGTACATGTGCACAACGTGCAGGTTTGTTACATATGTATACATGTGCCATGTTGGTGTGCTGCACCCATTAACTCGTCATTTAGCATTAGGTATAGCTCCTAATGCTATCTCTCCCCCCGCCCCCCACCCCACAACAGTCCCCGGTGTGTGATGTTCCCCTTCCTGTGTCCATGTGTTCTCATTGTTCAATTCCCACCTATGAGTGAGAACATGCGGTGTTTGGTTTTTTGTCCTTGCGATAGTGTGCTGAGAATGATGGTTTCCAGCTTCATCCATGTCCCTACAAAGGACATGAACTCATCATTTTTTGTGGCTGCACAGTATTCCATGGTGTATATGTGCCACATTTTCTTAATCCAGTCTATCATTGTTGGACATCTGGGTTGGTTCCAAGTCTTTGCTATTGTGAATAGTGCCGCAATAAACATATGTGTGCTTGTGTCTTTATAGCAGCATGATTTATAATCCTTCGGGTATATACCCAGTAATGGGATGGCTGGGTCAAATGGTATTTCTAGTTCTAGATCCTTGAGGAATCGCCACACTGACTTCCACAATGGTTGAACTAGTTTACTTCTGTATATGTTTTAAATTAAAAAACAACTTTTAATATATGGCTACATTTTTTGCTGCTTTATGGTTTCCCGATTTAACCTAATTTTTCAATTGACTAATCAAATAATTGTCTCAATCAAGTAAGGTAAAGAGGCTTCTTGTATAGAAGTATTATATATTCAGCATAAAATAAAGATAATTTTTAATATAGCGTAGTAATGGCATCGAAAATTATATTTTGATCTTAGAATATTTTAAATGTGTCTTCAGTTTCTTTAATTTAGAAATGCTCTAACTTAGAAACAAAACACATAGAAGATTACAAGTGCAAATAGAAAGAGGGCAAAAAAGACTGACCTTATATTTGCCAAATTTTTAGAGGTATATTAAAACCTCTACCTGACATTGCCGATTGCCTTGATTAATACCATCCTCCCCAGAATTTGATGTGAAAAAATGATTCTACTATTAAAGACTGATGCTGTTGTCTTGCAGGTCTTTCCATAATAAATAATCAAGCAATATCCCTATGAGGAATTATCTTAATTTCATACTATTTCCTTTTTACATTTATACTTTACTGTGCAACATTTTATTAATATTTGTTAGTAGATACAAGTGAGAAAGTAAAAATGGAGGCCCTGACATTCAGGACCTGGACTGGGACTCTCAGCTAAGTCTTTAAGTCTCCTGTTGAACATAAACTATTTCACAGAACCCTAAAATAAAATACGACCATTCAATGATCATGATGGACAATGACAAAAACAACAACAATCCTTAATTTTATCTGAGCATAAACAAAACAGGAACGTTGTCCAAATCACAACATACCAGATACAAGTGACTGTTGTTTCTTTAGCAGTTACCTTATCCTCAATTACATTAGCCTCACTCTAGTATGTCATCCATATAGATAAGATTTGGTGACATACCTAATCATAAAATTGCTCCCACTTCCTGGTAACAGACAATCCAGGGCAGTCTTGCTTCCTTAATTTCTTCCCCAAATAACCAAATCCCAAATGATACAATAGGTTCTTTTAATACTCTCTTACTGAGATAACTTCACATTTCCCCATTGTGTGAAGTATTTATTGCTGTAAACAAGAATAAACTCAGGGGTGTTCCTGGTGGTCTTTGGTTATAGGATATGGACACAAGAAACAGAAAATAGATTCTAAGTGTTTAAAGACTTTATTGTGATGGGGAGAGGTATTAGCTAAAGTCATGGAAGAATATAATGCAGGAAGATAAAGATAATAGAAATCAAAGATCAAATTTTCTCTCCTTCTAGAATTTTATGCAGCTTCACACTAAAGAGTGTTGTAACTTATTGATTAAATTATCCAATTCAGTGAAAGTATGCTGAATAGAAGCAGGAAAGCTGTTTCTGTATGCTCAGTTTATATTACAATTAAGTTTCCAGCTGGAGATCCACAAAATATAGTAGAACCCTCACAGGGATGGTATTTGCCTTGTTCTATTTTAGGATTCCATAGCAATATCACCTTATAGTAACAGCTGTTTGTAGCAATGGGATTGGTATGAATTTTTCTTCTACTGCCTGGCAAATTGAAAAGCTATAAAATATTTTCAGTTCATTTCAGGTTCAGGTATCCCTAGGAGCAACTGTCTTCATTCAATCAGAAAGGAAGGTACTAAGATTGCAAAACAGAGATTAAGTAACTGAATGCAAACTGCTGTTGGTTGAAAACTCCAACTGGGACTTTATTGCCAAGCACCAGACATTAGAAGATCAGTGGCAAAATTAGCCAGAGTAAACATCCTGAGGTACAAAACTAGTGCCAGCTCACTGAGCTATCAAAAAGATAAGTGGGTTGACAGAGGGGCTGAAGAAAGACGTAAGTAAATATGGATAAATTCAGTACCCGTTCATATAATGATGGACATGATTTGAAAAAGAAATATGTCAGTCATAAATTCAGTTATAAATATGCAGAATGAAATTTTGGAAGTTTTATGCTCTTGTTAGGAAAAAATAGCTATATTAGGATTAATATTACATATTTAATTTGAGTCTCAATATAAGAACCCCATGAAGGTTGTTAAAATAATGAAAGTAATGCTGATTTAATAATTAGACATTGAAAACTTACATCCTCGGTGGCATTATTTATTAAAACAAGCACATAGAAAATATATTTTCCTTTTCTTTCCCCTACTGTACTTTTTAAATCTTAAATTCTCAGTTTAAAAAAAATGTGTTATTATAATATGTATTCCAAAATTATAAAAATTATAATTTTATACTTAATGACTTTTTTTTCAAACAGAAAACATATAGCCAGGATTCAGATAAAAAGTCAATGTTACCATCATCCTAGTTCTTGTCTAGTAACTATTTTAATAGCTACAATCAAATTACATTCTTTATATAAATGGTATCCTCTGCCAAAACTGAGATGAGTAACTATAATTGTTGTTATTATTATTATTTGTAGTAGTAGTAGTAGTGTAGTATGTAATGTCTTAGCTCCCTGAAATGTTTGAATAGAAAGCTCATAAAATAACTGAAATTTCAAGCATTTGAATTCTAATCTTTTAAAAACTGTTTTTAGGTGAGTTTTTTCCCCAAAATTATAGGCCGTCATAATAAGTTTGAACTTTATCTATAACAATAGAAAGCCATTAAAGAAATTTTTGCCCTAGAAGGGCATTAGTGCACTTTTGTTTTGGAAAAATAAGACATTGGGGGATGTAGATGATGAGTTATTAAGAAGAAAATAGGGTTGCCGTACAGAAAACCAGTTTAGAAGCTAAGGAATTAATCCGTTAAATAAATTACAAAATTTAAGGATGTCTCAATAAGTTTGAATGTAATGGAAAGTATTCAGCAATAAATGAAAATAATAATCCTATTTAAATGGCTAATTTAATATGAAGATTTAATAGAGAAGAGTTATAGTCTCAAGTTCTTGTTTAGTGGATGTTCATATTATTAATGGCAAAAAAATATAAGTAATAGGTCAAAGCTAAAGGCTTATATATTTGGATAGTTCCCAGTCAGGTTGATTTTATACCAAAATAACTTTTATGAAAAAGAGAAAGTAGTAACAATGCTATAGATTATTTAATCTCTTGCCAAATAAATACTGAAAATTACAAAAATACTATTTTTCATTTGATTATTAAATAGGCATATTCAACTTAATATTTCCAAACTGAGATCCTGATTCTCACTCAAACCATCCCTTCCTTAATGTTCCCACTCAGTTATCGGTCACGTAAATTGATGGGGTAAGGATTCACCACAATACTACCAGTTGTTCAGATAAAAAATTTTGATATAATCTTTAACTTGACTCTTTCTCATAACCCATATCTGTTTCATCTATAAATCCTTTTTGCTGAAACTTTAATATATACCCAGGATTCCACGTTCTCACCCAACCCTTGCTACTATACTGCTGTAAGTCATCATCCCAGCTCCTCTGGATTATCAAAATGACCTCATAACTTGCCTTCCTACTTCTGCCCTTGATGCACTTTCATTTTATTTGCAATATGGTAACAAGGTGATTCTGTTAAAACATTTCATATTATGTCACTTCTCAGTTTGGAACCTTCTGTTTTTTTCTTATCACATTTAGAATTGAAGCCAAATTTCTTGCTTAAAATGAAAAGGACTACATTATATTCTTCTGTGCTCATTTCTCTTTTATTCTTTCATTACAGTCACACAGGCATGATTACTGCTTCTCAAACAAAGCTGGTATGCCCTCACCACAGGACCTTTGAACTTGATTTTTTTTCCTGCATGGAAGTTTTTTATTATTATTATTTTATAGAAAAACAGAAACGTGTTTCTCACAGTTCTGGAGGCTGAGAATTCCAAGATCTAGGTGCTGGCAGTTGGTGTCTGATGAGGGCTTTCTTGCAGTGTCCTCACACAGTGGAAGGTGGAAGGCAGAACAGCAAAAAGGGAATGAATTCCTTCCAGCAGCTTCCTTTATAAATCTGCCTGGAGTACTTAAAAACAAACAAACAAACAAACAAACAAACAACAAAAACCACAGTTAGTTCTCTCAGTTCTTTCAGGTCTTTACACAGTTATCTGCTAATCCTTCCTTGCTCACTTATATAACATTGCACCATTACTTAACCATTTCACTTCCTCCTTCCTCACTGTATTTTTCCCCCCATAGGATTTAATAGTATCTGACCCATTTTGTATACTTTATTTTTATTTTCATACACACACACACACACACACACACACATACACATACACACGATAATATTAGTAAGCAAGGATTATTGTCTCTTGTCACAGCTGCATCTCTAACATCTAAATATATTTAGTGTATATACATTTAAGGTATAGATATTTAAAATTAAGTAAACAATAAAATGTGGCAATTTTGTTAAAAATGTATTGCCTATACTTAGTGAATATTAATCACTATTTAAACAGATTTGGAGCTATCTTTAGTAAATCTTAAGAATATGAAATATTAATATTAATATCACTGAACTTTAAGTAATTGCTGTAAGGACTTACAAGCATACACACATGCAGTGTACAAATGTTAAGTCCCTGGCTTTGATACTGTACTATAGTTATATAAAATGTAATCATTGGAGAAAATTAGGTGAAGAGTATGCAGGATGAATCCATACTTATTTCAAAGTGAAAAGTTTAAAAATTAATTATGTTAGGCAGCTCTAACTTTTACTTGATAGGTTACCCTTAATTAGTTTGTATTTATCGGAGAAATGCTTTGTTTTTCTGGTTTGCTTAATTCTTAGTTAAAAGATAACAAACAATTTTATTGCAGAGGAAATTTCCTAACATTCTTTCACTCTCCTTTGATTTTTATTTAAACTAAAACCAGCATGACAGTCCCATCGAAAAATTCCTCATGACAAAAATCTCTTATCAGGAAAATATGTTTGAGACACATACACATTGCACGCTATTGAAGGGGCTGCTTCTCATAAAACATGCACGTTTTACTTAAGTACTTCAAAGGTACTTTATGTTTGTACGCTTTAAACATTTTGATTGCTGAGTCATTTAAATCTTTCAAAATTATTTGAAATATTTTTATATTGGCTAAAACCAATTATGTTCTATACTGTAATACAATAACTTAGTTGTTTCTTGGGTATCTAGGACTAAATATTTTTAGATGACTTTTAATTCTTTTACCAGACTTGCCTGTATTTTTTTCTTTTACTCGCTTTAATTTTCTTTTATTACATTCACATTCTCTCTTCTTCTTTCCTCCACTGTTTCCAATGATTATTAGCCACAGAAGGAACACTTTATAACTTCCCTGACTAAATAATGTCTCTTACTGCTTTCTCTTTAAGGAGGTGAATGCTTATTTTATCTGCATCAAAATTATATGAAGTGGAATGACATTTATTTGTCATGTATCTACTGTAAACTGAGACAATTCCTCAATTTTTCTTTGTCTTTCCTTATTTTGAAATTATTTTTGAGAAGTGAAGGTCAGTTATTTTGTAGACTGTCCCTCAATCTGGATTTATATGGTATTTTTTCATGATTAGATTTACTTTATACATTTTTAGTGAGAATGCTCTGGAAGTGATATTTTTTCTTTTGTTCTCAGTAAATGAAATCAAAAGGAATATAAAACTGATTTTTCTCAGTATTAGTGATGCTAAATGTCAGGTTCTTAAGTTGGTGTCTACTAGGTTTCTCCACTATAAAGTTATAAATTTTAACTTTTGGATTTATAAGAAAAAAGAAATGTAATTTGAAACTGCTAGAAAAGTTTGATGCTCATCAAATGTTTACCAACAGTTGTTATTAGCAACCATTGAGTATTTTCTAATTCCACTTGTATATTTCCATATCTATGTATCTATATCTATATGGATATAAACATAGCTATCTTCCTATCATAAGGAAGAGCTCTCTCTTTTTCCTTACCTATTTCTTTGTTGTGTATATCAGTTTGGATTCATGAATTATTATTTTATTCAGTGTGTTAAAAGCAATTACTCTATTTCAATATGCAAATTTTCTCTGTCCATAGTGACGTGTCTATTTATGTCTACTGAAACTTGGGAACAAAAGTCAGAGGTTTTGGTATTTCAGGGAAGTAATGCTGTGTATATTATATATCCCTTGAAACATGTGAGTGGCCACATATTTTGACAGTGAAATATATGGATATTCAAAATAATGTGATTATAAAGACTATATATAGCATCCTAGTCAACTCAAATCAGATTTAACCATTAAATGAATAACATTTTGGTTCTCAAAGATATAGGAATTTAGAATTCTGAATAAGGCATTGTGAACCTCTGCCTGGTTCTCCTTCTATTTTAAATAGTGTATTATTTTATATTTATAAAATGCATGCCATCTTTATATTGTATACTGTTTAGGCTAACTTTAAAATCTAGAGCTTAAATATGATTATGAGGCTGTCTTAGGAGTTACAGAAATTACATTAATCTTGGATTATATATTAATTAAAAATGCATACAGAGTTAAAAAGCATTCAGGAAAAATTTTTAATAAATTTTAAAGACTAAGTTAATATCTATGGAAACCAAAGAATATTAATTTATATTTATGGATGTTTGCTTCAAATATAAAAGTTTTCTATAGATTTATGTGCTATCTAGTAAGTTGTGGCACAGTACAGTATGAATACCATCTTGGAGATTTTGTTCTTTATATAAAGAATATATAAACTTGTAAAAAATTACATACTAGCTGACTAAAAATATGCAAGGTGGTTCAGGTAGGAATGAAAGGCAAATCTGATAATTTTATATTAAAAATGTACTCTAAGAAATTATCTTTCTCAAGAAAATTTTACAGCCATATAAGTAATCATAAAGCAAGGTATACTGGGACATATGCTTGGTTACCTGAAATTAATTGCAGGGCCCAATAAGTAGGCTACTCTCTAGTTAAAAGAAAAAACTTGGTAAGTTTCTTTCTCTCCATTGCCCTGCTTTTGAGTGAGGTGACAGGCTACTGGATGAAAACACTGCAACCAGATGAATGGAAAAGTTGTGTTGCCAGGGAAACCTCTTCCAGGAGTTGTGTGGTCCTCATGTAGCTGTCCTTTTTTCCTTAGAGCAGTAGTTCCTTCATGGTACAAGAAAAAGATCAAGACTAACATGTGGTCATAAAACAGGAATGTATTTTATATAAAATATCAGTACCCTACATCAATCTATTACTATTTTACGGTCTCTAATAACATGTAAAATAACTTATTAAAAGGAAAAATTAGATCCTTCATCTTTGTGTATATTATTTAATTTCATTTTTGCCCTCAAGGCTTCCATTAAATGTGTCATATCTTAGACACATAAAGTTTAAATTGGTATAGAGCTATTATGATTTCTACCTTTTCTGTTTTTAGTGGCCTACTGTGTCAATGCATTATCTATAATAGTTCCTCATACATTAGTTTTAATTTATTCCTGGAAAAAAAGAACACCTACATGGTTTGTCTAAAAGCATTTTTCCCTGGGATTAAAAGGATTGCCATTTTTACATGCTGGTCTGAAATGAAAATGAATAAAAATGAGAGCTATTTTCATTTTCCAAACATGGCCTTTGAAGTTTTCAAAGTGAACCTTGATAGAGAATAAGGCCAGATAAAAATGTTACTACAGCTCTGGCCTCAGGAAGAAAAAAATCAAAACAGAAATTTCCCATGGTGATTCCCTTTCCAGAGAACTGATCATTAAACCATCATGCTGTTTGACATTCTTTACAGAAGTATGGCATTGCTTCGACTGGAGTTTAATTTGAGGAATTACCTTTTCTTATTTTTTAATACTGTAACTTTAAAAGGAATAAAATAAAGACATTCTGCCCATCACAATGAGTGCCCTCTGTACACAGGAAAACACCATTTCCTCTTAAATCCCAAAGGAATAAATCTAGATTTGAAACCACCAGGGAGCTGTATACTTGAATGGCAATGTTTTGGCCCTGACAGATTTGTTTTTACTAAATCGCAATTGAGCATTCACCACCAGTTTACCTTCTGGACATCAAAAAACATCATAAGAACTCGCTAGCTTTCCTTTTGTGTAGATGTTACTGAGAACAGCAGTCAATGTATGGAATAGCTTCCTCTTTACAGTATCCCCAAGGAGAAATTCCTCTCAAGCCTCACTATCAGCAAAAGCTATATATCTTTTAAACAACTGGCTCCCATCCCTCCTCACTTCCCTAATATTTTAGACACTGTGTTTCTAAATTTCATCCTGATTGCTTTGACCATTAGGAAGTTGAGAGAAAACATTTTGGTACATCTCTGCACCTACTCAGGACTTTATGGTAGGCATTTCTATGAGCTAGTCTTAACCCTTACCCTTACTTTCTATTTCCTTTCCCATAATTTACCTTCTTCTATTGCTCAAGTGTTTTTTTTTTTAATATTGTAGTCATTTTAAACGTAAAATAAATAAAAACATTACGTAGGTGTATAAAAGGATGTTTTGGCTTTTGTATGTAACCAAAATTCAAAACGCTTTCTTTATAATTAGTGACTGCTTAATATAATACTAATTGGATTAAATATATTTTTCTATTACACATTGGAGGTGTGTGGTAGTGATGGGGAACTATTTAATTCCTGACTCTAGACTCTTGTTTAGTTTTGTCTACTTCTTAATCTTCTTACTCTTTAATGAGTGTCTTAATCTCAGTAGTTTCACATTCTTCTCAAGCAATGCTATTCACTGTTCCTACAAGCACTTCTAAATTTTTTATTGTATAGTTTAACTTGAGATTTCAAATAATAAACTGCCAAAGATTTAATTACAGTATTCAAACTAATTGGATATGGTAATCAGCGGGTCTCTCAGAGGTGTTTTATCTTGATGTCTAGGGGCATAAGCAGTATACTATTGGTGTTAACACACAACCACTTCTGAGATGTATTTCTATCAAATGTTATTTCAACACTTAGAGAAATCTCCAAATAATAGTTTGATTAGTTTCAGATATAAAATAAGAACAAGTAAAGAAAATTGAGGCATTGAGGAGTGGCTGACATTTATTGAATATTTACTATGTACTAGCCACTAGGTTTTCATATTTGGCTTTAAAAAAAAAAGACTTAGCTTTGGAAGGGCAACGATACATTGACATATCTCTGTAATGTGCCTTCCTTCAACCGACATATAAATTATCTGTGAGATAATAGTAAGATAGGTAGCTATAAAGTGGCACTTTTAGAAAAGACCTAAAGCCAAGAGCATGCAATGCTCTTATTTATTCTTACGACTTTTAAGACTTCTGGAAAGCTCAAAGTTTTGCTTTATGTCCAATTCAATTATTTTACCTCAGATACCTAAGTTTCCTGCTATTATTCATAACTTCCACCCTTTTATTTTTATTTCTATTTTTTCATTTTTAAAACTTGGATCTGTATTAATCATTAAGTCTAGGAGAGAGATAAAGTAGTAATGTTTGTGGGTAAAGAATAACTCTTAGCAAATAGGAAGACGATATTCTGTTTGCAACTCTAGTTCTTTTTTTTTTTTTTACTTCAAATGTTAAGGCTATGCCTTGACTACTACATTTTTCTCTGTTTTCTATCTTCCAAGACAGTCTGTAATATTTATGAATAAATCTATGGCTGAAAATTGTGCATTCCTCTTCAGAATGGAAGAGGTCTAATAGATTTTAAACTAGCCAGTTTAATAAGAGACAAACTGGTATGCTGAACACTGAAAAGCAGCTTCATACATGAATGAAATCTTTATTGCCAAAAGATAAAATAATTTGATGTTAATATTGTGAAATGCTGAATAAAAAACTAAAGAATAACAATATATTATTTATTTATCTTTTGTTTGATTTCATTTTGGAGAGGGCTTAATGTGACCCTTGAGTATGTACATCAAGAAATTACGTAAATGCAAATCCAAGGCTCTGAAATATTCTGTTTGCATTGTTAACCTCTAATTGGTTATGCCATTAAATTAGTTGTAAAGCATTATAGTACATGACTGGTCAGCCATACTGTATATAGTTGAGTCCTCCTCTAAATTTATATTGTTATATATTTCATAGTCAAACTTTTAGCCATTTAATTAAAAGGTATATGTAATACTTATAGAATTGATGATCTGTATGATCTTTTCTGTGTGTAATTTTAATATTCCCCAATTGGCCTAGCTCAGAAGCATATGTGTGCCAGGAATAAATATTTAGGTGAATAAGATATATGATTAAAAGTCAAGATTGAAAACTAGACTTTTTGAAAATAAGATTACCATTTTTTTTTTTTTCTAAAAAGGAAACTTCTTTACAGCATGGATGTTACAGTTGAATTTTTGGGAGGCTATTATATCAGTTATCATCTTAATGCTACTAGAAGATAATCATATACAATAACTTGTGATAAGGATTTTTTATCGTCTCTTTGAGTCAGACACTAAATTATAGTATTAGAATCCAAGACATGCTCTTATGTTTTATGAATGTAGTAATATTGAGAAACTATTTCTAAATACAGAATATTTCAAATTATGTAGGAAAACTCTTAAAGGATTAAAATTTCCCAATAATACGTCTTATCTGACATATTCTGGGAAATTTCTAGCTCCTGTAGAATTTTACCAAATAGCATTTTATATAAATATATGAAACCCCTACTTTATGCTAAAATTCTCTTGACTTACGACTGGAGAATATACCAGCTACCACATTCCAATACTGTAATAGAAGAAGGCAGGCTGTCTAGGCAATTTGCGCATCTGGTGCTGTAAAACACGGTGGGCTGACATAGCAGTGAAAGTCTGTCTTCTTACTCCCTCTTCTTTACAGTGGGATTAAGTGCATGAGATATTCATATATACTTTGAGGTGCTTTAAGTTGCGAAGCAGGTAATATTCTCATAGCTTCATTTTCTTCAATGTGACTCTCACTGCATGAATCACTGTTAGTGAGACTGTATATTCACTGAATTTAAAAAAAAACCATAAAGGTAAAATACTCTGTCAAATACAGCAAAGAAGAAAGTGGGAGGGAACTGATATTTGGCTGCTTGTCTACTATGTACAAACACATTAATAGGAAATGCATACGCACTTGAAACTTAAGTATTATACCTGATGAATTTGATATATTTTCATATTCTAAAAATAAAGAAACAGACTCAGAAAGAATAGCTCCCAATAGGATATATGGCTATAAAATGGCAGATCCAACATTCAAAGAACCAATGTTAAAACCCCAAATCCCATTTGTTTCCACTGCACTCAAACTTGTCTGCTGATAATCATCTAGAGCTGTCACTGAAATCAATATCCCAGGTCCTCCCCTTTGAGATTATATTATAGTTGCCCAGGTACTCCCCAGGAATCTGGATTGTAACAAGGACCTCATATAATTCTTAAAGTCAAGTATTTTTGAAAACACTGCTCCACAGCTTACTACTTTCTCTGCAGTTGAAATAATGTCTTTCTTGTATCTAAGAAACACACAATTCTAAGTGACTCTTTGGACCTACAGCTTTGTTATATTTATGCTATTTTTATACTACATGTTCTTCTAAATTCTTTTTAATCTTTTAAAAATTCAAAGAAATTACCTGACAACGTGATAGAAGGCCAGGATTGTAATAACAATACCTAACAAAATGTTTAGGGAGTTTTAATTTTTTAAATGTTTTTCCTAAGGCACAATCCCTACTAGATCCAAGGCACTCCATGCAGATGGGCACATTTTCTTACACCTGGATTGGTCCCAAAAGCATTATCTGTTGGAAGACCTTATTGTTTTAATTGCAAACTTATATCTGGCCTTGTGGAATCCAGGCAGCAATGTTAAATTACGTTTTTCAGTAGCTTCGAGGCTCTATCTGTAATTAGTGGCTTCTGTTCTTTATTACACTGATCAGTAATGCAGCTCTATTCATCACCGCAGTCTCAGTTAATTATCCTTGCTAATGATTTTCATGGTGTAAAGAATCTTCAGGACCCATTTGTAAAGATATTTTTGCATTGAAATTATTGGATAGTATGACACCATAGTGAGCTGATAAACTGTTGGAGGGATGTTACCATGGGAGATGGTTACTTTCATTCTATTGTATCTGCTTTGATTGGGGAGAAGTTACAGAAGAGGGGATGTGATGTAATTTTGCATTTACGAGTTTATAATACTACAGGTGTGCAAAGAGGTGGGAAGCAGTCAACCAGAACACAAAGAGAAAAATTTCCTCTGCATGCCTGAGACATTGGTAATACTGTTGGTGGCTGCTCCATCTAGTATTGAAATTAAATAAGATTAAATGAAACTGCTACTTCATCGTGTGTTTACATTTTAAAATATCTTATGTGGAGAAAATAATTTGAATTTATGAAAAATTGTGTGACGCAGTGATTTGTGTATTCCTTTTGGATTGTTAGGAATTTTAGGATAAGTTGCTGATCTCTGGTAGGTATGACATGTTAATATTAGATTACTTTTCAAAACTTATATTATTGTAAACCTTAAAAATACATAATTTTTAAAAAAGGTCCAAAGTTTTTAGCTTTAGAAACCATATTGAAATTAGTGTTAATTAAAAACAATTTTCATAAGATGATTTATATAAATTTTAAAGAAAAAGTCTTCAATTATTTCTGATGTCATTTTTATGCAAATCATATCAGACATATATCAAATGATCTTCCACCTCCTTTAAAAAATACTGATAATGAGAAATGATTTTTTGAAAATAAAAGAACAAAATATTATAATACGTGATTGAATAAGAAATGTCACTGAGAGAATTACATCTATCAAATTTAGGTAAAATTTTATTGTTTACTTTGGTGACAAAAATAACTTGTAAACTTTTTTTTTAAAGTTTTTGACTTCATACTTTTATTCTTACTTTTCCTCACTCAAGTTGTTTTCTTTTTATATAATCTAAGCTAATTTTACAATTGGATTCAGCACATAAATGATGGACAGTAAAGCCTGTGAAATAAGATGTTAGAACTGATATTTGTTGCCAGATTCCAAACAAAAATAGTCAATTACAATACCTTTTTGTGACCATGAGAAAGGAAATTACATTTAATCATGAACTATTCAAAATTATGTGTATACATAGATTAATAATGTCTATGAGAGTCAATACAAAATAATTAAAAAATTTTTAAATTAGCAGTTAATTTAGTGTCAGCTATTAAAATGTATGGCAGTATCAAAACTAAATATAATAAAAAAGTTTAAAAAGTTCTTGACTACTAAATCATCTTGACAAATTTTAACGTATTTATTTATTTACTTTTTTTTTGATGATTGTCATCTGGAAACAGCATCCTGAATCACTGTGAGAAAAATACGTAATAGATCATGATTCATTAAGGCCCAAATTTTGATTGATCATTAAATTTCTGACTGCTAGAAATTCCCAAAGCACAGGGACTGGCTTTTCAAGATTGTAAGATGTATTTTGATCCATGGGAATAAGAAGATATCATTAAACTATTCAATAATACCTCAGCTAAGAGAATTACCCCATCAAATGTATAAGATGTTTTATATTTAAAAATCTGTCTCTATATCTTTCCATCTACCTATCATCTACTCTCTTTTTCATCTCTCTATTATCTTTCACAGCTATCATCTATACATTGACATCATCAGACTTTCTGTGGCTTCTGGGTATGAAAAGGAACAAAATTTTGTGTCATACTCTCTGGAAACAAGAGGGTAGAAAAAGACAGGCGTAAGTTCCAGAAGTAAGCTCCCTCCACCCAATTCCACCCTGCTCACCAACAAAACCTTTTGGACAATGAACATTGAGGATTGGTGTCATAAAAAGTATCACTGATATCTCCACAGTATCTCAGCCTTACTGACCACTTGTAACATAATGATGTCCTATGTTAGAAAAGGTCATATAGAACAATGTTCATATGGTAATGTCCTGGCCAAGACAACCATATACACATGAACTATCCAGGACATGATGACATTGGACAAATTACTTAAACTCTGAGATTAATTGTCATCAGATGTAAATTGGGTAGAATAACACACAACTCATAGGGTTTTATAAAGATGAACTGAACACAACCAGATAAACATTGTAGGACAAGAAAATGACAACGGATTGTTAATTCATATCTCCATGTTTTTAATACCTAGTCCACATATTTTTCTTATTTTTACTTACTACCCCTGATTTTTTTCTTTCATTGAATTCTTTGTAAATTAAGGACATCAGTCATATACTAAATACAATGCATTTTTTAATTATATCATTCATCTTTGGCTTTTGTTTATTATAGAGTATTCCTTAGGGGATTTTAAAATGTGTAAACATATGAAGTAACATATATTGTTTTTGGTTTCGGTTCTGCTTCGTAAACGCTCCTGCTTAATCTAATATTATAAGAAGAGAGGTGTTACAGCATCAATATATTTTATAGTCATGAGGCACTACAAGTGGGGGTAGGAAGATTTGTTAAGATAAAATTGCTCTAGGCTTCACCGGAGAAGATTAGGCCTAGGCTAGGCGCAGTGGCTCATGCCTGTAATCCCAGCCCTTTGGGAGGCCGAGGCGGGTGGATCATTTGAGGTGAGGAGCTCGAGACCAGCCTGGCCAACATGGCGAAACCCCATCTCTACTAAAAATATAAAAATTAGCCAGGCGTGGTGGCGCATGCCTGCAGTCCCAGCTACCCAGGAGGCTGAGGCAGGAGAATTGCTTGAACCTGGGAGGTGGAGGCTGCAGTGAGCCAAGATTGTGCCACTGCACTCCAGCCTGGGCAACAGAGTGAGACACCATCTCAAAAAAAAAAAAAAAAAAAAAGAGAGAAGATTAGGACTGATGTGGGGCAGTAGTGATGATGATGAAGAAGAGAGCAAAGCCTAGAAAATACATATTCAAGCAAAACTGGTACACCTGTATGCTTATGTTATAGTCCAGAAAAAAGTGAACAAACTGAATAACTAATTGCTTTTTGGCCTCAATAAATATTTAACCTCACTGGACTTCAGTTTTTTATCTATAATATAAAAATATTAAACTCAATTGTCGTTAAAAGCTATGCCATGTCTGAAATTTTATTATTTGAAAAAAAGTCTCTGGAAACTCAAAGGCATGAATGCTCTGTTTGTTAAGAGGAAAAACATATGAACAAATGAGTGGACAAAATAGGCACAAATACAGAATACAAAATACAAAATAGGCACAAATAAGTAAAATGGAAAAGTACTTAATTGAAAACTCAGTTCTCTAGAATACAGATAAAATTATAATGAAAAGAAAATAAGCCTGAGAAGCCAAATTATACGTTATAATGTATACTGTATATCATCCCAGTGAATAGCAAATAATTCGTGGGCAAAATAAAGCATTTCTTGTAAGTAAAAAGATTTTTATCCCAGCTGTATCTGTGAACAAATTGAAATGAAAAATACAGTGTTTGGGTTTTCTAATTGGTGAAAGTATCCTCATCGTATGTTGCTCAGGAGCTAGTTTCTCCAGGAAAATACAGGTTTTCTGAAAGTTTTAAAATTAGGGCTTCTAAGTAAATAAGAGAGCCATCTTTCATTCGGCAAACAGTGAAGACAGTATGTCAAGGAGATTCAGATTTATTCCTCTCTCTAAATACTCAGATTTATTCATCTATCCATAATCCATTATTCTATACTCTAAAGATTGTTTCTCTTCAATAGCTATATGAGAATGAGATGCTAAATTAACCCAGCTTTTTTATATGCTGTACCTTAGCATTCAAATCATGCATATATGAATGATTTTAGAAGTTTCTTCATAGATATGCATAGAAGAGGAAATGAGATATTTTCTAAAAATAAAATTAGCCTATCAAGGCCTTCATAAAATTAGAAAGACTTCCTTGTGTTTCGTACTGTGATTAAGAGTACAGATAACAAGCTGGAAAAGTGAAAGCTAAAATTTATCCTGTGCTTCTTATGTGCAGGACATTATGCTGAGTATTTTACAAGCGTTTTTCCATTTAACTCTCACATCAACTCAACAAAATATTAGATAAGATTATTAGCACCATTTTACAGATGGGGGACTATAGGTATTATGGAGCAAATAATTGAACTACAGAGTAACAACAATATAAATTCAGAGATGAAAGACAACTCTCAATAATATGATTAGGAATAAAGCAAAACCAAGGAACTTTATACAGTGGTGATGCTTTTATTCTATTTTATTTTACTTTTTCAAAAATGCTTCCCTTTAGCGCAACTCTATAAACTTATGTTAAACTTGAAGTAAACCTGGTGAAAAACAAGAATAATCTATGTTAATATCTGACACTCAAATTGCTCCACTTTTGAAACATCCATTTGATTGTGATTGAATATGTATTTTCTTCCTGGTTTAGACTTGGGAGGGTGTATGTGTCCAGGAATTTATCCATTTCTTCTAGATTTTCCAGTTTATTTGCATAGAGGTGTTTATATTATTCTCTGATGGTAGTTTGTATTTCTGTAGGATCAGTGGTGATAGCCCCTTTATTATATTTTATTGTGTCTATTTGATTCTTCTCTCTTTCCTTCCTTATTAATCTGGCTAATGGTCTATTTATTTTGTTAATCTTTTCAAAAAATTAGCTCCTGGGTTCATTGATTTTTGAAGCGTTTTTCATGTCTCTGTCTCCTTTAGCTCTGGTCTGATCTTAGTTATTTCTTCTCTTATGCTACCTTTTGAATTTGTTTGCTCTTGCCTCTCTAGTTCTTCTAACTGCGATGTTAGGATGTCGATTTAAGATCTTTCCCCCTTTCTCCTGCGGGCATTTAGTGCTATAAATTTCCCCCTAAACATTGCTTTACCTCTGTCCCAAAGATTCTGGTATGTTGTGTCTTTGCTTTCATTGGTTTCAAAGAACATCTTTATTTCTGCCTTCATATCATTATTTACCCAGTAGTCATTCAGGAGCAGGTTGTTCAGTTTCCATGTAGTTGTGTGGTTTTGAATGAGTTTCTTAATCCTGAGTCCTAATTTGATTGCACTGTGGTCTGAGAGACTGTTATTATTTCTGTTCTTTTGCCTTTGCTGAGGATTGTTTTACTTCCAATTGTGTGGTCAATTTTAGAATAAGTGCAATGTGGTGCTGAAAAGAATGTACATTGTGTTGATTTGGGGTGGAGAGTTCTGTAGACGTCTATTAGGTGCACTTGGTCCAGAGCTGAGTTCAAGTCCTGAATATCATTGTTAATTTTCTGTCTCATTGATCTGTCTAATATTGACCGTGGGGTGTTAATGTCTCCCACTATTATTGTGTGGGAGTGTAAGTCTTTTACTAGGTCTCTAAGAACTTGCTTTATGAATCTGGGTGCTCCTGTATTGGGTGCATATATATTTAGGATAGTTAGCTCTTCTTGTTGCGTTGGTCCTTTTACCATTATGTAAAATATATAATTATGTAATGCCCTTTTTGTCTTTTTTTATCTTTGTTGGTTTAAAGTCTGTTTTATCAGAGACTATGATTGCAACCCCTGCTTTTTATTGCTTTCCATTTGCTTGGTCAATAATCCTCCATCCCTTTATTTTGAGCCTATGTGTGTCTTTGCACATGAGATGTGTCTCCTGAATACAGCACACTGATAGGTCTTGTATCCAATTTGCCAGTCTGTGTCTTGTAATTTGGGCATTTAGCCCTTTTACATTTAAGGTTAATATTGCTATGTGTGAATGTGATCCTGCCATTATGATGCTAGCTGGTTATTTTGACCATTAGTTGATGCAGTTTCTTCATACTCTTGATGGATTTTACAATTTGGTATGTTTTTGCGGTGGCTGGTACCAGTTTTTCCTTTCCATATTTAGTGCTTCCTTCAGAATTATAAAAAACTACTTTACATTTTATATGGAACCAAAAAAGAGCCCATATAGCCAAGTCAATCATGAGCATAAAGAATGAAGCTGGAGGCATCACACTACCCGACTTCAAACTATACTACAAGCCTACAGTAACCAGAACAGCATGGTACTAGTACCAAAACAAATACATAGACCAATGGAACAGAACAGAGGCCTCAGAAATAATGCCACACATCTACACCAATCTAATCTTTGACAAACCTGACAAAAACAAGCAATGGGGAAAGAGTTCCCTATTTAATAAATGGTGTTGGAAAAACTGGTTAGCCATATGCAGAAAATTGAAACTGGATACCCTCCTTACACCTTATACAAAATTAACTCAAGATGGATGAAAGACTTAAACATAAGACCTAAACCATAAAAACCCTAGAAGAAAGCCTAGGCAATACCACTCAGGCGATAGGCATGGGCAGAAACTTCATGACTAAAACACCAAAAACAAGGACAACAAAAGCCAAAATTGACAAATGGAATCTGATGAAGCTACAGAGCTTCTACACAGCAAAAGAAACTATCATCAGAGTGAACAGGCAACCTACAGAATGAGAGAAAAGTTTTGCAATCTATCCATCTGACAAAGGGCTAATATCCAGAATCTGCAAGGTGCTGAAACAAATTTACAAGAAGAAAACAACACCATCAAAAAGTGGGTGAAGGATACGAACAGGCACTTCTCAAAAGAAGACTTTTATGCAGCCAACCAACGTATGAAAAAAGCTCATCTTCACTGGTCGTTAGAGAAATGCAAATCAAAACCACAATGAAATACCATCTCACACCAGCTAGAATGGTGACCATTAAAGTCTGAAAACAGCAGATGCTGGAGAGGATGTGGAGAAATAGGAATGCTTTTACACTGTTGGTGGGACTGTAAATTAGTTCAACCATTGTGGAAGACAGTGTGGCGACTCCTCAAGGGTCTAGTGCCAATAATTCCATTTGACCCAGCAATCCTCTTACTGGATATATACCCAAAGGATTATAAATCATTCTACTATAAAGACACATGCACACGTATGTTTATTGCAGCACTGTTCACAATAGCAAAGACTTGGAACCAACCCAAATGCCCATCAATGATAGACTGGATAAAGAAAATGTGGCACATATACACCACGGAATACTATGCAGCCTAAGAAAGGGTGAGTTCATGTCCTTTGCCAAGGACATGGATGAAGCTGGAAACCATCATTCTCAGCAAACTAACACAGGAGCAGATAACCAAACACCATGTGTTCTCACTCAAAAGTGGGAGTTGAAAAATGAGAACACATGGACATGGACACAAGGAGGGGAATATCACACACTGGGGCCTGTTGGGGTGGGGTCGGGGTGGGATAGCATTAGGAGAAATACCTAATATAGATGACGGGTTGATGGGTGCAGCAAACCACCATGGTTCGTGTATACCTATGTAAAAAACCTACATGTTCTGCACATTTCCCAGAACTTAAAGTATTAAAAAAAAAAGAAGAAACAATATTATGTCCTTTGTAGGGGCATGGATGACACTGGAGGCCATCATCCTTAGCAAACTAGGGTAGGAACAGAAAATCAATACTTCATGTTCTCATTTATAAGTGGAAGCTAAATGATGAGAACACATGGACACATAGATGGGAACAACACACACTGTCAGAGGGAGGGGAAGGAAAAAAAGTAGTATCAGGGCACAGATCACAGAAATCCTGTAAGACATGGTTAGAAGTTCAAAGTTAAATCCAAAAAAAAGGAAAACCCTATTGGCTACTGAGTAGAGAGAGGAGTGACACGATCCAATCTGTATTTAAAAATATCATTCTGATTGTTGCATCTTGAAGCAACTAGGGATGTACAACAATGGAAGCATGGAGGTCAGTTAGAATTGAAAAGTCCAAGTAAAATATTATTGTTTCTTGGAATAGAATACTAGCAGTGAAGGGGGTTAATCTTATATTTGACACATTTTAAGGGAAGAGATCCTGCATGACTTGCTAAGACATTGTGTGGGGAGTCTGATATTTAATTAAGTAGAGAAAACTATGAGAAGATCGTTTTGTTGGTGAAATAAGACTTTGATTTTGGGCATATTAAATTACATCCTTATTAAAATTTAGCTAGTTATATTGAGTAGGCAATTAGATATTATAGGGAAAGAAAGTGCTAGAGTTAAAAATTTGGGTGTCATTAATTTATACATGGAATTAGAATGATTTAATACCCTGTATACTTACTATCCAAGACACTTGATTTATAGAAAGATAAAGTTGGATAGAAAAGAGATTCAATCAGCATAAAAATGTCAGCTCATTTATGTTTCGTTATTATGTAAATTCTTGAAGCACAATGAAACATTGTATTTTAAGGTAATACTGCAATATTATAAGACAACACAGTTTTACTCATTTTTGCATGTCTTGATCATTAGAATATACAATATTTGACCCAGCCATCCCATTACTGGGTATATACCCAAAGGATTATAAATCATGCTGCTATAAAGACACATGCACACGTATGTTTATTGCAGCACTATTCACAATAGCAAAGACTTGGAACCAACCCAAATGTCCAACAATGATAGACTGGATTAAGAAAATGTGGCACATATACACCATGGAATACTATGCAGCCATAAAAAATGATGAGTTCATGTCCTTTGTAGGGACATGGATGAAGCTGGAAACCATCATTCTCAGCAAACCATCGCAAGGACAAAAAAGCAAACACCACATGTTCTCACTCATAGGTGGGAATTGAACAATGAGAACACATGGATACAGGAAGGGGAACATCACACACTGGGGCCTGTTGTGGGGTGGGGGGAGGGGGGAATTATAGCATTAGGAGATATACCTAATGTTAAATGACGAGTTAATGGGTGCAGCACACCAACATGGCACATGTATAGATATGTAACTAACCTGCACATTGTGCCCATGTACCCTAAAACTTAAAGTATAATTAAAAAAAAGAAGATACAAAATTAACCAAAATAATCTCTAATGTAAGCATTTCAAATATAATAGATTTTCCATTAAAATAAATTCTTTTTATTTTAATTTCAATGTACAGGATATGTCAAATATTATACAGGTATTTCATATGACGATGTGATCTTACTAGTAGGTAGCTATGAACAACTTGATCTTGCCTCATGGGTTATAGCAAAATGAATTAGGTAAATGCTTGATCTTAGAGGAATCAATCTGTATTTAGACTGAGCAAATCATACCATTTCACATGAAAAATTGAGCTAAGTTTCAGGAATTGTGTGGGGTTGGGAATGGATAGCACTAAATTTTGTTAGAGAACAAGAAATCCCATGAATCTCTTTTGCTGAGGTGTCAGAGCATTCCTTCCAGAAATGTAGGTATTTATTGTTTTCCATAAGTGTTTTAGATTCTATTAACACATTCCTTTTTGCTTACAGTATAATTAGTATACCTCAAATTCTTGAACAAAATATAAGTTTCAGAATAAATATGTTATAAAAAGGTCAATATATCTTCTTTTTTGACAAGTAACTATATAACTACCATTGGGAAAAAGATGGAATTAAATAAAAACAACTTGTGTTTCAGATGTTAATATTTAAACTTTAAATTTAAAAGTAGAAAGTAATACCATAATTGTGTTAAGTACTCAACCTTTATTATATAATTATGCCAGCTGATTTCTTTAGAACAGTGATGTTATTTTAGTTACTACTTTAAAAACTAGTCTGTATAAAGCAGATCTAGAAGTCAAGGGCTCTCGGCAACAATGTACATTTCATATCTTTTTTCTGACTAAGACTTACAAACAGAAATGGCACTGCTCACTGGAGAACTGCATATATTTGGGTAATCAATAAACCTTTTCTTACCTACTTTCATGAAAACACTCTTAGGTGACTTTGTTTTTATACCACGGCTATGAGATAAGACTTTAAATTATTATAATTTGGGGACAGGATTTCTCATGAGCTAAATATTCTAGGCCAGGTGTTGCAAACTAATTTTGTGTGTACTGTCTCAACATGTTAAAACTAAAAGAAGCCAACTTCATAAACAGAAAATTGGCAAACAGTTGAGAGAGGTTAGGATTATCAGAGCCAGAAAAAAATAATGCACACAATATTTTAGAGCCTGGTGAGGTCTGAAGAATACAACAAAATATTTTTATATTATACCATTTTATTTTAAATGAACTAAGATAAATACAGTATTTGAAAGTAATAGGCAAATGTTTGAAATTTTTTATTAGTTAAATACAGTAGTTTATATTGATAAAAGCAGTTTAAATTATGCTGTTTAATTTCTATAATATAAGTCTAATAACAGTGATTATTTATATGTATAAAAAAGCCTTAAAACTTTTGCTGCAGTTACATCTGTACTCTTCATATAATATTGATTTATCTTTCTGGGAGAATTCCAATTTTATCAAGTTGAAATTAGTATAACTTCTATAATATCTCCTATATTAAATCACTGTTTTTAATAAATTAGAGTTTATCTAGCCTGAGATTTTTAAAAGTACTTACCCCTGGTACATCATAAATGATTTCAGCTTCTATATTCTATTTGATGAATAATTTAATCAGTTTTATGTTAATTGAATTTTTGCCTGCTTAAAAAAGCAAATCTTGACTTTTCATTTAAAATATAATCTATTAGAGAACTCTAATCAGTTTCCTCTTCTATCCTCTTGAGAACATTGCTTTGATTTAATTTTTATTAAATTGAGGTGCTTCCTTGAGGTATTTTCTCAAAAATTGTACATGTTTTCTAAAACACTGCATTAAAAAATATCTGTTTGTCTTTATCTAAATTGATATCTTGATGACAAATAAAATTCTTGGTCTCAGATCTCTTATTTCATAGCTGTTTTAAGTGTTTCTACTTCCTTCTGACATTCAGTTTTATAGGTAAGAAATATGATTTTACAAATGAGGAATATGATGTCACTCGGGTTCTCATTCCTTTTTAAGCAGCTGATTCCCCCATGGACATGCTAGTAACATTTTTGTTTTCAACTTTAGCAGTTTTCTTAGGATATTTGAATATTTTGGTCTTTTTCACTCATTCTTGCTGTAACTCTCACTCCAACTCTAGCTCTTTTCTCCCTTACTAGTAAACTAACCCTGCCAGGAGCTTTCATATATTGCACATTAGTATTCCTGCAATGTTTCCCATGATTGGCCACTATTCTAATTAGGAGGTAATGCAGCTAGCCTGAAATTAAAAAAAAATACTTCGCACACTATTTTAGATAAGTGCTTCTAGTATTTTCATTACTATATATTGTTAGAGTCTGCCCCATTATCTCTTTGATGTCTCCTGTTATTTGTGTATGATGCACTCTGCTCTAGTCTTTGTGCCATTCTTTTTCATACTTACAAGTGAAAGTATTTTGTATTTTTTGGGATTTTTTTAAATTTTATTTTATTGTGATGAGAACACAGTGTGAGATCTACACTTTTTGCAAATTAGGTGTACAATAGAGTATTTTTTAAAGTAGGTACAATGTACAGCAGATCTCTAGAGCTTCTTAAACTTGCATAATTGAAACTTTATGCCTGTTGATTAGCAATTTCCCATTTTTCTTTTCCTATACCCAGCCACTGTCCCGATATATGTATTCATCACATTTTTAAATCCATTCATCAGTCATTGGACATTGCAGTTGTTTCCGCATGTTGGCTATTGTAAATAGTGCTACAGTGAACATAGGAATGCTGATATCTTTTGAGATCCTGGTTTCAGTTTTTTGGATGTGGTGTGGTAGTTCTGTTTGTAATTTTTAGATAAATCACCATATTCTTTTTCATAAAGGCTGCACTGTTTGCATTCCCACCAACAGTATGCAAATAAACTCAAAATGGATTAAAGACTTAAATATAAAAGCTGAAACTATAAAACTACTAACTACTGGAAAAAAAAAGGGGAAATGCTTCAGGACATTGATCTGGGCAAAGATTTTACCTATGAATAAGATTCTGAAGGACAGGCAACAAATGCACAAATACACAAATGGGATTTTTGTTAAGCCAAAAATCTTCTGCACAGCAAAGGAAACAATCAACAGAATGAAGAGATAACTGATTAAATATGAGAACATATTTGCAAATGATTCATCCAACAAAGGACTAACGTCAAGAAAATACGAGGAACTTGACTTCACAGCAAAATAAAAAATAATTCAATTAAAATATGGGCAAAGGGTCTGAATAGACAGTTTTCAAAAGACATACAAGTGGACAACAATTACATGAAAAAAATGCTCAGCATCTCTAATCATCAGGGAAATGCAAATCAAAATGACAATGAGATATCATCTTCCCTTGGTTAGAATGGCTATTATCAAAAAGAAAAAAATGTATATCAAATGCTAGTGAAAATGCTGAGAAAAATGAACTTTTTACACTATTTTATTCTTTTCATGCTATTTTAAATGAGATTTTTTTCTTAATTTTTAAATATTCATGTGGATAAATGCTACTAATTTTGCATGTTAATTTTTTTATTCTGCCACTTTGCTAAATTTATTAGTTCTATTAGTTTTTTGTTAATCTTAAGGGTTTCCAACTTAGAAGATTATTTCATCTGCAAACAGAGATAAATTTACTTCTATTTGTCATATTCAAATTCTGTTGTTTCTTTTAGTACAACAATGAATAGAAATAAGAGATAGTGGCTAGGTGTGGTGGCTCATGCCTGTAATCCCAGCACTTTGGGAGGCTGATGCAGGAGGATTGCTTGAGCCCAGGAGTTTGAGACCAGCCTGGGCAACCTAATGAGACCCTATCTTTACAAACAATTTTAAAAATTAGCTGGGCATTGTTGCATGGCCTATAGTCCCAGCTACTTGGGAGGCTGACTTGGAAAGATTGCCTGAGCCTGGGAGGTCAAGGCTGCAGTGAGCTGTGATTGTGCCTGGGTGACACACCAGCCTGAGTTACAGGGTGAGACCTTGTCTCAAATAATAATAAAATAATAATAATAATAATAATAATAATATTGTGGAGATCACGGGTATCCTCTTGTTTCTGATCTTAGAGGAGAAACTTTCAGTTTTGGTATTGACTATGATGATAGTTGTGAACTTCTCATCAATGAATTTTATCATGTTGAAGAACACTCATTCTATACCTACTAAGTCAGGAGTTTTATCATGAAAGAGTGTTGAAATTAAAATGCATCTGTTGAGAATTTAATAGGATTTTTTTTCTTGAATCTGTGAATGTGGGGTATTACATAAATTGATTTGCATATGTTGAAATATTCTTGTATTCCAGGGATACATCACATGGTCATGGTGTATGATTTTTTTTTTATTTACTACTATTTTGTTGAAGATTTTTGCATATATTTATCAGAGATGTTGGCCTATAGGTTTCTTTTCTTTATTTCAGTATCTTTATCTCATTTTGGTATCACGATAATGCGGACTTTATAAAAAGAGTTCAAAAGGATACCATTCTTTTTAACATTATATTACTTTGAGAAGGATTGACAAACCTTTTTCAAATTTGTGGTAAATTTACCAGTAAAGTTATCTGGTTCTGGGCTTTTCCTTGAGACGGTTTTTGTTATTGTATCAGTCTTTTCTCTAGTTATAGGTCTGTTCAGACTTTCTAGTTCTTCATGTTACTGTGTTAGCAGCTTGTAGGTTTCTAGTAATTTATTCATTTCTTCTCAGTTATTCAGTTTATTGGTGAATAATTATTCATAGAAATCTATTATGATACTTTTTATTTCTATGGTATCAGTTACAATAGTGTCACTGCTTTCATTTCTTAATTGCCACTGCTTTCATTTCTGAATTATTTATTTGAATGTACTTTAATAATTAGTCTAGGCTGGGCATGGTGGCTCACACCTGTAATCCCAGCAATTTGGGAGGCCGAGGTGGGTGGATCACCTGAGGTCTGGAGTTCTAGACCAGTTTGGCCAACATGATGAAACCCCATCTCTACTAAAAATATAAAAATTAGCCAGGCGTGGTGGTATATGCCTGTAATCCCAGCTACTCTGGAGGCTGGGACAAGAGAATCACTTGAACCCGGGAGGCGGAGGTTGCAGTGAGCTGAGATTGTGCCACTGCACTCCCGCCTGGGTGACAGAACAAGACTCTGTCTCAAAAAAAAAAAAAAGAAAAGAAAAAAGAAAAAAATAGTCTATTGTTTGTCAACTTTACCTTTTCGAACAACTAAAGCTTATTTCATTGAGTTTTTTTCTATTGTTTTCCTAATCTCTATTTCATTAATTTTCACTGTAATTTTTATTACATGCTTCTTTCTACTAACTTTGGGATTAATTTGTTATTCTTTTTCTAGTTTCTTGATGTGTACAGTTAGGTTGTTTATTTGAGATCTTTTCCTTTTTAATTATAATTTTTATTGCAATAAGCTTCACTCTTAGTACTGCTTACCACTGCTTTTGCCACATCCCATAAGTATTGGTGTCTTATATATTCCTCTCAAGATGTAAAAGTAAAATGTTTCTAATTTCCCTTTTTTCCCTGTTTTCTAATTTCCCTTTTTAATTTCTCCTTTCACCTATTGGTTGACAAAAGTATGTTATTTAAAGTTCACATACTTGTGAATGCCCCTGTTTCCTTCCACAACTAGTTTCTAGTTTCATTACATTGTGGTTGAAAAGATAGTTAGGATGAATTCAATCATCTTAAATTTGTTAATACTCGTCTTGGGACCTAATGTGATCTAACCTGGAGAATTTTCTGTCACTGCTTGAGAAGAATGTATAGTCAGCTGATGTTGGGTAGAATGTTCCGTATATGTTAAGTTCATTTGGTCTACTGTTCAAGTCCATTGTTTGTTGATGTTTCTGTTATGTTGATCTGCTTAATATTAAAAGTGGAGGATTGAAATCTCCTGCTTCTGTTGTATTGCTATTGTTCCCTTCAGTTCTGTCAATATTTGATTTATTTAGGTTTGTGTTCTGAGATAGATGATAGATAGATGATAGATAGATAGATAGATAGATAGATAGATAGATAGATAGATAGAGCATTGCCCCTCTAGGCTTCTGAGATCACTGCTACTTCTTCTCATTCTATCTTCATCCTTAGTGTTTTAATATACGACACAGCGCTGCTACTCTCCACCAGGTAGTCCATCTGTTATAGGCTTTGTTCTTTAATTTTGAAAAATCATAACTTTCTTGTTTTCATTAAAAATAAGTATATTATTCTCTTGTTGAAAAACATCAGGGAAGAAAAAAGCCCAAATGATTTTTTTAAAATACCTCTTTATTTAGAAATATTTATTAGCATTTCATGATTATCATTATATAAAGACCTTGTTATGTGTTTGTGTATGATTTACTTGTATGTATGTATATATCTATGCACACACATATATGTGCATTTGTACACATGAGCACACATGAAGAGAGAGGGAGAAAGAAAAAGAAGTGTTCAAATTTGCTGACATTGGAGCAGTCATGATCTTTAAGGAGATAAAAAAAGTGCTGAATCACACATTGTCTCTTTATGTTTCTACAATTATATGTAATTATCTATCTAATCGATCTATAATGCAATTATAGATCCTAAGAAGCCCCATAGTGTGTCCTCTGCAAGTTAGAGGCAAAGCCCAGGAACGTCTGTAATTCCAACCCAAATCGAAAGGCCTGACAACCAACAGAGCCAATGGTCCAAGTCTCATTCTAAGTCCAAAGGCCCTGGGAACAAGGAGCGTCAATGTCTGAGGTTAGGAAAAAATGGATATCCCAGGTCAAGCGAGAGCAAATTCACCTTTCCTCCACTTTTTTCTTCTATTCAGACCTTCAAGGAATTAGATGATGTTCACTCACATTGGTGAGAGAGATCTTTATTCATTCTGCCAATTCAAATGCTAATCTCTTCTGGAAACACCCTCACAGACACACTGACCTTCATATTAGATCAATGATTCTGGTGGACTTTTTCTTTCTCTTTTACAGAAGATTATTTATACCAGAGTATTCAACCTACTTTAAGGTTACATTTGATATTATGAAATAAAAATAATTAGACATCTTAATTCATAGAATGATCTTTTTTGATTTATATGGTTTGAGACTGTTCAAAGAGAACCCTTTATGTTTGGTAAAAACAAGTTTCCAAAATTGCAAAGCTAAAGCCTGAACAAATTGTTGTCCAAATAGACCACCAAACATTTACCTTATTTGATACATTCCCTTTAAATTCCTGACAATGAGAATTAGATACTTTAAAGTTATACAAACATTTTATGTTTTAAAATTTTATGTACATTTAATTATATATGGATATAAAATAACACATGTGTATATATACACATTTTTATACATGTTTACATATGTACACATATATAGGCATACACATACTCATATATATGTATATATATACTGATAAATTGAATTAAGATAGTAATAAGGAAACTCCATTCAAAACATGGTTTGGGAATTTTCTTACAACACACATTATTCTTCACTATCATTCCTGAATGTGGAAGAAAAATGACTAATGCTTTATTTACGGAAATGTCATAAACTTAAATATATTACCACCAATAAGATGGCAAATCAACTGTAATTCTATATCCTAAATTTTCTTTTTTTTGATATATCTTTTTTTAAATTATTATTATACTTTAAGTTTTAGGGTACATGTGCACAATGTGCAGGTTAGTTACATATATATACATGTGCCATGCTGGTGTGCTGCATCCATTAACTCGTCATTTAGCATTAGGTATATCTCCTAATGCTATACCTCCCCCCTTCCCCCACCCCACAACAGTCCCCAGAGTGTGGTGTTCCCCTTCCTGTGTCCATGTGTTCTCATTGTTCAATTCCCATCTATGAGTGAGAACATGCGGTGTTTGGTTTTTTGTCCTTGCGGCAGTTTACTGAGAATGATGATTTCCAATTTCATCCATGTCCCTACAAAGAAAATGAACTCATCATTTTTTATGGCTGCATAGTATTCCATGGTGTATATGTGCCACATTTTCTTAATCCAGTCTATCATTGTTGGACATTTGGGTTGGTTGCAAGTCTTTGCTATTTTGAATAGTGCCGCAATAAACATACGTGTGCATGTGTCTTTATAGCAGCATGATTTATAGTCCTTGGGGTATATACACAGTAATGGGATGGCTGGGTCAAATGGTATTTCTAGTTCTAGATCCCTGAGGAATTGCCACACTGATTTCCACAATGGTTGAACTAGTTTACAGTCCCACCAACAGTGTAAAAGTGTTCCTATTTCTCCACATCCTCTCCAGCACCTGTTGTTTCCTGACTTTTTAATGATTGCCATTCTAACTGGTGTGAGATGGTATCTCATTGTGGTTTTGATTTGCATTTCCCTGATGGCCAGTGATGATGAGCATTTTTTCGTGTGTCTTTTGGCTGTATAAATGTCTTCTTTTGAGAAGTGTCTGTTCATATCCTTTGCCCGCTTTTTGATGGGGTTGTTTTTTTCTTGTAAATTTGTTTAAGTTCATTGTAGATTCTGGATATTAGCCCTTTGTCAGATAAGTAGGTTGTGAAAATTTTCTCCCATTCTGTAGGTTGCCTGTTCACTCTGATGGTAGTTTCTTTTGCTGTGCAGAAGCTCTTTAGTTTAATTAGATCCCATTTGTCAATTTTGGCTTTTCTTGCCATTGCTTTTGGTGTTTTAGACATGAAGTCCTTGTCCATGCCTATGTCCTGAATGGTAATGCCTAGGTTTTCTTCTAGGGTTTTTATGGTTTTAGGTCTAACATTTAAGTCTTTAATCCATCTTGAATTAATTTTTGTATAAGGTGTAAGGAAGGGATCCAGTTTCAGCTTTCTGCATATGGCTAGCCAGTTTTCCCAGCACCATTTATTAAATAGGGAATCCTTTCCCCATTGCTTGTTTTTCTCAGGTTTGTCAAAGATCAGATAGTTGTAGATATGCGGCATTATTTCTGAGGGCTCTGTTCTGTTCCATTGATCTATATCTCTGTTTTGGTACAAGTACCATGCTGTTTTGGTTACTGTAGCCTTGTAGTATAGTTTGAAGTCAGGTGGCGTGATGCCTCCAGCTTTGTTCTTTTGGCTTAGGATTGACTTGGCAATGCGGGCTCTTTTTTGGTTCCATATGAACTTTAAAGTAGTTTTTTCCAATTCTGTGAAGAAAGTCATTGGTAGCTTGATGGGGACGGCATTGAATCTATAAATTACCTTGAGCAGTATGGCCATTTTCACGATATTGATTCTTCCTACCCATGAGCATGGAATGTTCTTCCATCTGTTTGTATCCTCTTTTATTTCACTGAGCAGTGGTTTGTAGTTCTCCTTGAAGAGGTCCTTCATATCCCTTGTAAGTTGGATTCCTAAGTATTTTATTCTTTTTGAAGCAATTGTGAATGGGAGTTCACTCATGATTTGGCTCTCTGTTTGTCTGTTATTGGTGTATAAGAATGCTTGTGATTTTTGTGCATTGATTTTGTATCCCGAGACTTTGCTGAAGTTGCTTATCAGCTTAAGGAGATTTTGAGCTGAGACAATGGGGTTTTCTAGATATACAATCATGTCATCTGCAAACAGGGACAATTTGACTTCCTCTTTTCCTAATTGAATACCCTTTATTTCCTTCTCCTGCCTAATTGCCCTGGCCAGAATTTCCAACACTATGTTGAATAGGAGTGGTGAGAGAGGGCATCCCTGTCTTGTGCCAGTTTTCAAAGGGAATGCTTCCAGTTCTTGCCCATTCAGCATGATATTGGCTGTGGGTTTGTCATAGATAGCTCTTATTAGTTTGAGATATGTCCCATCAATACCTAATTTCTTGAGAGTTTTTAGCATGAAGGGTTGTTGAATTTTGTCAAAGGCCTTTTCTGCATCTATTGAGATAATCATGTGGTTTTTGTCTTTGGTTCTGTTTATATGCTGGATTACATTTATTGATTTGCGTATATTGAACCAGCCTTGCATCCCAGGGATGAAGCCCACTTGATCATGGTGGATAAGCTTTTTGATGTCCTGCTGGATTCAGTTTGCCAGTATTTTATTGAGGATTTTTGCATCAATGTTCATCAAGGATATTGGTCTAAAATTCTCTTTTTTGGTTGTGTCTCTGCCTAGCTTTGGTATCAGGATGATGCTGGCATCATAGAATGAGTTAGGGAGGATTCCTTCTTTTTCTATTGATTGGAATAGTTTCAGAAGGAATGGTACCAGTTCCTCCTTGTATCTCTGGTAGAATTCGGCTGTGAATCCATCTGGTCCTGGACTCTTTTTGGTTGGTAAGCTATTGATTATTGCCACACTTTCAGATCCTGTTATTGGTCTATTCAGTGATTCAACTTCTTCCTGGTTTAGTCTTGGGAGGATGTATGTGTCAAGGAATTTATCCATTTCTTCTAGATTTTCTAGTTTATTTGCGTAGAGGTGTTTGTAGTATTCTCTGATGGTAATTTGTATTTCTGTGGGATCGGTGGTGATATCCCCTTAATGATTTTTTATTGCGTCTATTTGATTCTTCTTTTTTTCTTTATTAGTCTTGCTAGCGGTCTATCTATCAATTTTGTTGATCCTTTCAAAAAACCAGCTCCTGGATACATTAATTTTTTGAAGGGTTTTTTGTGTCTCTATTTCCTTCAGTTCTGCTCTGATCTTAGTTATTTCTTGCCTTTTGCTAGCTTTTGAATGTGTTTTTTCTTGCTTTTCTAGTTCTTTTAATTGTGATGTTAGGGTGTCAATTTTGGATCTTTCTCTTGTGGGCATTTAGTGCTATAAATTTCCCTCTACACACTGCTTTGAATGTGTCCCAGAGATTCTGGTATGTTGTGTCTTTGTTCTCATTGGTTTCAAAGAACATCTTTATTTCTGCCTTCATTTCATTATGTACCCAGTAGTCATTCAGGAGCAGGTTGTTCAGTTTCCATGTAGTTGAGTGGTTTTGAGTGAGTTTCTTAATCCTGAGTTCTAGTTTGATTGCACTGTGGTCTGAGAGACAGTTTGTTATAATTTCTAATCTTTTACATTTGTTGAGGAGAGCTTTACTTCCAACTATGTGGTCAATTTTGGAATAGGTGTAGTGTGGTGCTGAAAAAAATGTGTATTCTGTTGATTTGGGTTGGAGAGTTCTGTAGATGTCTATTAGGTCCACTTGGTGCAAAGCTGAGTTCAATTCCTGGGTAACCTTGTTAACTTTCTGTCTCGTCGATCTGTCTAATGTTGACAGTGGAGTGTTAAAGTCTCCCATTATTATTGCATGGGAGTCTAAGTCTCTTTGTAGGTCACTCAGGACTTGCTTTATGAACCTGGGTGCTCCTGTATTGGGTGCATATATATTTAGGATAGTTAGCTCTTCTTGTTGAATTGATCCCTTTACCATTATGTAATGGCCTTCTTTGTCTCTTTTGATCTTTGTTGGTTTAAAGTCTGTTTTATCAGAGACTAGGATTGCAACCCCTGCCCTTTTTTTGTTTTCCATTTGCTTGGTGGATCTTCCTCCATCCTTTTATTTTGAGCCTATGTGTGTCTCTGCACGTGAGATGAGTTTCCTGAATACAGCACACTGATGGGTCTTGACTCTTTATCCAATTTGCCAGTCTGTGTCTTTTAATTGGAGCATGTAGTCCATTTACATTTAAAGTTAATATTGTTATGTGTGATCCTAAATTTTCAAATACAAATTGATTGATGAAAAAAGAAGTCCACCTACAATCAATTGTACTACACAGATAATGTCAATATTTTAATAAATGATATTTTAATAGGCTTATGAAAATTTTTATTTAACAAAACCATGCAGATCATTAATTACTTCATGTTTTCTGCCCCAAAATATTCTGAAGAAATTAAGAATCTTAGTGTTATTTTCAGTAAAGGAATATTGTTCAGAAAACATTTATGTCATGTTGCTTTGCTCAGAACTTTTGCTCTTTGGCATATAGTTATATAGTTTTTAACCTGACGCATTAGAACTCTCTATCTGGTCTTATAAAGAATCCCAAGTGCCGCCATGTCTGTTTGAAGTTACTCTGTCAAAAATAAAGCAAATTTGTAGTTGCCAATTATTTGGTATTTTTATCTGAATTAACACATTAATTAACAAATGTCTCATGTTGGGAAATCTAAAAATGCTTCCCTAGCTTATAAAGATACTTCCCACTACTTTTTCCCACAACTTTTGTGAGAAAATAATTGTGAAAAATCTCTTGCAAAATAGGACATTTTACAAGATATAATGGTTTTGATACTTTTGTACAAACTTGTTAAATCTGTGTTAAATAACTAAAGGCAGAATTTAACAAGAATGACTTTTCTCTTTACAACCTCAATTTTAAACCCATACATTTTATTGTGTGTGGAAATAATTTTAACAACCATTAGCCACCTGCCCATCATTATTTTACAACAAGCAAGGCTCACCGAACCTGCAATTAGCCAATTACACAAACTATTATATTGTTTGCAATTGTCAACGGAAAAATGAATTCAAGCGGATTTCTCTATACTGCAGGAGAGCTATGTCAATAGCTTGTTTGCAGTCTGGGATATAGCATGCCTTTTTTGTTTTTTTTTTTTTTAACAGTAATGACTATAAAATAATTATCAGTTTTGTCACCCTAGTTTTCCCTTTAGTTGCATATGGTTAGCTTCAGCACTACTCTCTCCTCTTTTGTTTTCTTTCAAAGTGAAATTTTGCTGTTTTTAATCAAACTCCAACTTTGTGGAATAAGGATGTGATTTGTAAAAGTACTTCTTTGTTTAGTTGATTAATAAGTACATCACAACAGTTTCTTGACTTGAATTTTAAAATGGATATTTATATTTAAAATACAGATTTTCTCAATGAATGGATTAGATATGAAATAACACCGTTATCTTAACCCTATTTGTACCAAAGATTCAGTCCTTTGAAAGCTTAAATATTACCTAACTGACTCATTCCCTTTCTTCCCTTGGCCCCTTCGAATGCACAGACACAAAATGTGTGTGCAATTTTAACAGGATCACACATTTCAACAGACAGCAGGTTAATAATTTTGTATACACCCAATATTTTTTAAAAACCTGCTGGAGATTACAACTTTGGTTTTATCCAAACATGTCTTATTTTTCAAAATCAAAATATATTTTTTAAAATGTTTTAAAATTTAAGTTAAATATTTTTAATATCTCAGCTCTACCTGTGTTATGCACAATAAGAAGGCTCAGTTCCTTACTGCCTTGAGCATTTTGCTATCTTTTATAACTTTTAAGAAAATTTTAATAAAGGAACAGCTGGCATGCAAATTAATTGATATGAGAATAACTAATATGAACAGTAAGCTGCACATCTGTGACACACATTTCTCAGGGGAAACCTTTGAATGTGTATTAAACTATTAAAAATCAAAGCAAATGACAATGAAATTAAAAACTCTTGATTTTAATATAATTTTTCTTTATATTATAACTGACATCAAATATCAGAAAAAATAAACTTTAAATATTTCTCCAAAGTTTCTGCATAAATTCTTAACATGAAAATTAAAATGTAGTATGTATTTGTACTCAACATTTTATATCCACAACTCTCTGTATTTTAATGCTAAAATAAGCCATCAATACAATTATAGCATTCTTTAAAATTTTTTTACATAAATAGCAAAATTTGAAAAACTTTAACTTGCCTTTTTGTATTCATACACCTAATTCCACAAAGCAGTACATGTCTAGATTTTGAGGCAAGATTTACTATGAAATTTTTACTGAAGTCTTATCACCACTTTCTTACCCTATACTTGTGTGGGTTCAACTTGTCTGGAGTTATCATCTTGGCATCACTTGAAGAGTTTTGGCCGTCTCTGGGAAGCCACAGCAGATTGACTCCCTGACCTTAAGATAACCTTTTTCCCTGACCAAATTTATGACCATTTGCCACAATCTCTTTTTAATTTTTTTCACCAAAGGTGATGTTTCTAATGATAATAGAAAAATGAAATAACTACTTCCTTCTAAATATAACCTGCTCTTTAAATTGAAATACAGTCTACAAAAAAGCAAATAATAATGGACCCCAAATAACTGTTTTCCCAAAGAAACATCTATTGTACATAAATATTTGAGATGATGTTGAGCTGTACTAAACCCAGCTTATTTTCCTCTTGAGTCTTTTCTCATCACAAATTCAAAATATACTAAAAGCAGGGAAGTCATTTCACTCTGTATTCTAGAAGAATTTTTAACATGTGAACTTTTATAAGGCTTGTTTTCTTTGATTGGCTAATATCTTAAAATGACTAAAATATTTATTTAAATTTTTTGCAAGAAAAGTAATATTTAAATCATGCATTCCTTTACAATATGTCTCTTACAAAGCAAACTTTGGAAATGTAAATTGCATGACTAATATAATTTATTGTACTGATAACTGATAAGTATGTAATTCATAATATTAAGTTTTTGTTTTTGTTCCAATGAGAAAAAAAATTTAATTATATTAGGTGAACACTTTAGGGAGGGATGAATCAGAAAAATAAAGCAAATTTCTACCAACAAACTAATTTATCCTTGTAGCAGATTTTCACAACAACATAAAACGTTAATTATTTGAATTATACATTAAGAATAGACAATAACGTTAAAATTATATTTGGCACCATTGGTTCTGCTTCACAGCATACAAAATCTAGTTGACTTTCATTTCACAGAATATAATTGAGACAAGAAATTGAAGAGGAACAGAGAAAACTAGACTGAATGAATAAAAAATCATTCACTAAAATGAGCCAATTCAAATGCAATTAAAACGTCAAAAAATGTATTAAACAAAATACAAAAATTGAGTCTCAGCAACATAAGGAAATTGCGTCAAATCATTTTTTTTCTTATTGTAGTGAATTGGTTTTGACACTTGTAATCTCTGATTCTTAGTGGCACTTCTTTGTTAAATTACAAATCACATCTCTTAGAAATGAAGAATAAACTATTTTAATACAATAATTTATTTGGACAAAACAGTTAACTTGTCAGTTATTAATACATGCTTATTTTTAGATACATTGTAAACTGTTTTTTACATGTAATCACTGATCCTTGACCTTCTGTTTAATATTTATATGATTCCATGTGAGTAAACCTATTTTGTTCCCAGTTTTAATTTATTTCAAGTAATTTTATAATGCATTTAGCCTTGAAAACTTTTATTTTTAAAAATACTAAAACATTAAACATATAATTAGCCATCAAAGAAGCTGTTTGTAATCAAACTAGGTTATAGCTCAGAACTCCATCCACCAAGCCTAGCTCTCCTTTATTGGTGGTTCTGAGGTACATTTAAAGTGTTAATAAAAACTAAATATGACCTGACAAGGATTTCATACTTCTATATTTGAATCCTTGTGGATGAACTGCAACCTAACTTAATAGGGAGACAAGATTGAAAGCCTAACTTAGGAGTATGTACCTGTAACAACAGCTGAGTCTTGGCCAATCCCAGCAGCCACATGTCAACCACTCGTACACTGCTGAGTATTCAAACAAACTGTATTCAAATAAGGTAAACACCAACCTGTACCTGAAGGAGGATTTCCCTTACCCCTTCATGGGACTCGCGACAGGGGTCTCACCTCCTTTACTCAGCCTGCCACTCTCAACTCTTTGCAGGAGGAAGTGCGAGAGCAAATGAGGCAAGAACTGGAGTGCTCAAGGGCTGGAATCAGCTGGCATCTTTGGCACCCACAGAAACAAACTCCATTCACTTGGACCCGCTGTGTTTCACCCTTCACGGGAGGAAGCACACAGGTGAGTGAGTGCAGGAGCCACAGCAAGTACTTTTAGGTGCTGGCAGGAGCAAACTCCATGTTGGCTCTGTGGGAGAATCTAGTGCAGGTGTCTGTGACCCCTGAAGCCCCAGAAGGCATAAAACAGTGCTCTTTAGCTTTGCTGTCCCTAGATTGCTTAAGTGTTAACAGCTCAGTGGGCCCTCTACTTTTATGCTTGAGGCAGCTGCGTTCTTCCCATGAGTGCAAAGGGCCAGTGTGAGAGCCTTTTGTATCCCCACTTGTGGCTCCTGAGCTCTTGTCTGATGTCCAGAAAAAATGAGGTCAAATGAACAAATTGAAGGATAGTAAATGTGTGGGATTTTATTGCTGAAAAAAGTAGCTCTCAGCAGGTAGGGGAGCTGAAAAAGGTATGGGGTAGGCAGGTAATCTTCCCCTGAAGAATCTTCCCCTTTAGATTAGATTATTATCTGAAGTTACACCATCAAGCTGTCCCTCGGAAGTCAAGCCGTTTCTCTCCAGTGTCCAGCCTTAGTCCCGAGCATCCAGCTGCTTCTCCTCTCTGACAGCTGAGTCTGGGGTCTTTATAGGCACAGGATGTAGGGTGGAGTAGGCCATGGGTAGTTTAGGAAAAGACAATAGGGATAAAAGTTCTCACTTTGAGCTACAGTTTTAGGTTTTTCAGCTTGAGGATGGGGTTTTGTTGGGTACCTGAATTTTTCTGCCTAGAATTTTTCTGCCCCCCCCATTCTTATAATAACCAATTCAGCTATTCCTGTAACTCACTTCTGATTTTTATGTCACTTTACTTTTTTTGTCTATAAATTTGTTCTTACCACAAGGCACCCCCGGAGTCTCTCTCAAACTGTTGTGATTCTGGGGGCTGCCTGATTCACAAATTGTTCAATTAAACTCCTTTAAATTTAATTTGCCTGAAAGCTTTTTTTTAAAAACAGGTGTGTTAGAAATGGGGTCTGAAGTACGGCTGCTAACAACTCCCATGAGCAGAGTGAACAAGCAAGAGACCTGCTGGACCCACTGTGTCCTTTGAACTCTCAGAGCAGTTGGGAATTGTGGTAAGTCCTCTTGAATTTCAGAGCTCCATGGATTTGTGTTTTGAGCTCTCCAAGTTTATTTGAGCAAATTTCTGTTCCAAATTGGGTTTGGAAGTCATGACAGAAGCTGGACTGAGTCCAGGATCAAATTTGATCTTGTAATTAACTGGCTTGGATCCAGTTAGAGGCCTCTTACATCTGACTGGGTCAGAAAGAAACTGGTAGTAAGTGGTAATATTGCAGGGTTGTAAGATTTGGCTTTTGAAAATTCATAGGGATTTTTGCATTCTACCCCTTTGTTTCATTTTTCTCACATGCTTAAGTAGGAAGAAAATCATTGGGTGAATTAGTCAAGGGAACCTGAAAGCAAAGCCAATAAATTAGGTAAAAATGGATAATTAATTTCTGAAAAACTGGGTTTCTTCCAGCTTATACATTAGGCCCAGGAAGCAGCAAAGTCTTACAGAAATGGTGAAATCTTACTAAAGAAAACTTACAGTGGAATGTGCCAAATGAACAACACACAAGTGTATTTAAAAATGAGAGCTTGCAAATTAGTCTCACCTAGGGATGCCTATTAATATGCAGAAGCTTCTAAAATGATTTAGATATGATGGGGCCCATCTAGGGGCAAGTTTGAGCCTTCCTAGTTTGATATTGGGTGCTAAGCAGAGTGGCTAATTAATGTCTATATTTGTCACTCATATTTTGCACTGACCAGAATGGAAAATGCTAATTTGGTTATCCCATACAACCCCTTGGGAAGCATTTTGCAAAACTGAGAAGATTTTGCCTGTGGTTTCATGATTTTTCTTTGTGATGCAGCTTCGCTCCTGGAACTAAAGTGTAGCAAGCAGGGTCACTAGGGCTGCTCGGGAAAGGGGAACGCAGGTCATGACATGCCAGCAAAAAAGTAAGAATTTCTTACCAGTTAGACTGCTGACCTCACTCTCTCTCTCTGCCAACTGGTTTAATGAATGGTAAAAATCACTCTTTATCTCCTCTATAAAGTTTTAATCAATGTAAAAAAGAATTTTGAGGCTAATCTTAAGCTGTAGTGAATATGGTTTACTTTGTACTATGAATTCATCTTCTGTATCTTTCTGTCATAAAGAGGGGTACCTTAGCATAGAATGAGAGCTTAGGACACCTATAAGCCCACTGATCAAGATGGCCCAGCAAACTGTTCAGTTATGTTCTAGGGAGCTTCACCTTTTAACCATGTGGTAGTACTTTCTCTTTGTCTCCACCATCACAATGGCAGCCAGGGTTCAATTCGTGGCTTAGGAAATGAATCTTTTCTGGCTTGATATCTGCATGACTTTTACCATTTGTTAATTCTCTTCATCTTCATGAACTGTCTTGAATTTTCCTTTGTCTAAGAACCTGGGAGGTTACTTTTGATAAAGTTCAAAAGCCAGATATATTGGCAGTTTGGCATGGCTAAAGTGAGGTAATAAGAGATTTAAAAGGACTCCACCTTAAAGTTAATAATTCAATGAAAAAACTTAAAAACTGGCAAATGAAAAATTCTACAATTACTGGATCTTCTTCTGTGTAGTTATATATGTGTTGTGTGTGTGTGATGTTTATATAAAAGAGCTCTAATTAATTGGCTTAAAGAAAAATAAGTAGTTAGATCAAGTATTTTGAAAAACAAGTAAAAACTAATGCCTTTTAGTTTATGTGACTTTAGTAATCTTTGGGAACTAAAGACAGTTTTAAAGATGATTTGTTAAATAAAAATATCTTCAAAAATGTAAACATTTGGTCTAGATTATGCAGGTCACATATTAGATTTGCTAAACACCTTAAGGTTATAAACTGCTTCTTTGACTTTTGAAAATTGTTCAGTTTACATATTTTGGAGCACTAGACTCTAGATAAGTCCTGGGAAATGTGGAATTAGCCATCTCCCCTAGCCATACAAATAAGGTTATAAACAAAAGAGATTTTATATAAGAAAAGATCTTTCTTGTGTGGCAAATTCTTGTCCTGAAGTAAAATGACTAGTTTTTTTAAAAGAGGGATAGTTAAGGCAAGTCAGAAAGTCCAAGCATGTCGTAGATGGTCTGCATAAGTCATGAAAGAATTTGTGAAAGAGAATTTATGCAAAAAATGTTGTACAACTTGCCTGCTTTACAGCTAGGTAAGGCATGTGACAAGTGGTGAAGTTAGACACTCCTCTTAACTAAACTACTCTGGAAAGGCTGGAAAGAGTCAGACCTTATCTGCACTTCTGTCTGTGTCCTAGGCTTCACACCTAGTACATAATTAAAATTTCCTACTTCCCAAGTTTTTCACCAGAAGTAAAAGTCTCTAAGAGTTAACATTGTAGCATGTAATTCAGATTACTAAAAAAAAACAAACAGTTTTACATGCAAGGTGTGTAAGGAAAGTGAAATGTGTTTTTGGTACAAAATTATAAGAAGGCATGAAAATGTGGATGCTTTTGCCTAGATTACAAGCCTAAAGAATTGTTTTAAATTTGATAAAATAAAGATAAATATTTGAAAAAGTTGTAGAAGGCTTATGAAAAAATAATCTTGTAAAAAGAAATTCTGTGTGAACATTAGCTAAAGTTAAAGGGGTGTTATTAAGTTTTTCTCTAAATTGAACATTGGAATAAAAACACAGCAGGTTTTTCTTAGAGCACCAATCTGCTCTTTCACACAAATTATAAAAGGTTATAATATGTTTATGAGAATCTCACCTTATGGTAAAACTGATTAAGATTGGATAGATTTGTCTATAAGGTTTTATTAAAAATTGAAGTAGACATTAATAGTAGACTAATGCAAGGGTGATATTTGGCTGTCTCTCGAACAAGATTTCCATGTAATATTAAAGCATAATGATAAATTTTTCTTTGCCTTTTGAATAAATTACTGAAAAAAGAAGGGAAAGAGAAGAGACAGATTATTTGGAAAGCTAAGTCTTCCCTCTCTCAATGAGTAAAGATTTTTGCCTTTTAAAAAATTTTTGAGTCGTTATTTTGGCTAAATAAATGATTTATGGTGACCTGGAATTCTATTTCATAATATCAAATGTTTTAGACCTTTAGCATATCTGATAGGCTTCCCAAAGTCAAGTTTCAGCATCAAAATTATCTTTTCTGACCTCTAACTTTAGGGTGCTAGAGAGGGCCCCTGAAGCACCCAAAAGAGAGGTAAACAAACAGGGCTATTTGATATGCTAGGTTGCATGGGAAGCAGTGTCAAAATAAGAGAGAATGTTTAACCTTCTTCAGTTTATATTTTAGCATATGTCATCAATATATTCCAAAATTGTATGGGATTTCTAAAATTCTACTATGTCTGAGTATTTGTTATCTATCATAATTATGGTTAAGTTTTTGTAGACCACAGATATAATCAAATTTCCTTGTCTATTGTGTCTTTAACCATTTAAAGGCATTTCCACAGTTAATTGCTTAATGCTGATGCAGTTCCTGAAAACTTCACATAAAATCCTTTCATATGGTATCTTTTAGGAGGTTCATTAAAGGATGGAAACGACCCTGAAAAGCACTCTTGAATACAGGTATCCAATAAATATAAAATCATATCATGTGTAAGAATTTCCCATGAATTCTCCAATTCCCCAAGAATTGGACTGGGTAAGAATTCCTGAAACTTTAGGGTAAGAATTCCTGAAACTTTAATAAAAAGACTGGTTTATAAAACTACTAACACAAGTAGAATGACAATTATTTAAATGCCAAGTAAATACTTTGCCAAACTTGCATGCTACATCAGACAATACTGAAATTTTTAGATATACAGTTTGAATGAACTCCAAGGTCTAAGTCATATTACCTATGATAACCCATCAGTTATCAGTTATTTGCACCTAATTGTAAAAATAACTGTTATTCAAGGGGACATAGGTCGGGACATAGGTCCAATGATAAGCATTGACTCATGGAAAATCGGGACAGCTGCCTTGTCTTTCCTGAGCCCTTAAAACTTTTATTATTAAAAGTCCTGCATTCTGTGACTTATCATGGAAAAAATAAAATAATCTAAATCAAATATATTGGTGTGGTAACTTATAAATTGCTAAAATAGCTTATAACCATTGTTTGGTTTGTCAAGCCCATATTCCTAAGAAAATAATCAAAGCTTCAAGTACATTTTAAACATTTTATAAGGGGGTTTCATTCAATGGTCATTTTCTATGCATGTTTTCTGATTCTATAAAGGTCTCCCATGTAAGAGGGCTGATGTTATAACAGTAAATTCTTATGCTTCAGTGTATTTTCACCAGGTAAAGCAAAATGAGTTTTTTATGGTTCACTGAGGACAGCCAACCCCTTCACAATCTAGAACCTGAAGACTGGATCATCTGAAAACATCAGGGAAAGATTGCTTTGCCATCCCTACTGCAATAAAACTTTGGAACTTGAACTGTGGGTTCATAATCTCACAACTGAGAAGGGTCCCTCCACACTCATGGAACTGTACACCCATTGGAACCCTTAAGGTCCAGTTAAACAGGAATGTCTCTCCCCAGAAGAAGATTGCATGCTTGATGTGAACAGCTTTTCCCAAGATCACGGATCAAGACTTCTCTACTATCATGAGACTCTTATCTTTGAACTTTTTTTCTTGTTTATGCCTCTATGAGTAATAGAAATAAGATAGGAGTCTGTTTAGTGCACTTATGTGGTATACTTTTATCTGTGAAGGATTTTGTAGCCAGCCTTATACATAGATAAAAGATGAAGGCCCAATGCAGGTGAGAAACTTTAATGGTACATACTTTTCTTCATATTCAGTCAGAAACAGAACATTGATTTACTATTCTTACCCACATCAAGGATTAAAGAGAATATTGATTGCTAGGAGGCCTTCATTCTTCTAGAAGGGCATCATTTTTCCATCGTTTGGAGTAAAAGAGGTAATAACCAGAAATGTATCCCTCATGATAGGTTCTATAGCAGATTCTACTGTAAAGGCTGTGGTCACACAACAGACTTATTAAATTATCTTGTGAAAGTTACGCTAAATAATTGAATTGTGGCCTATGAAGAACTACATTAAATGAAGATTATAGAGAGAGATTCAGATGTAGGATATTAACAAACAAAAAGATCACCTAGTTAAGCAAGTAGACTCCCTATCTAACTCATTCTTTACTCTTTTCGATTTTAGGTGGTTTGGTTTATGGGGAGTCTGAATAAGAAGCATACTCCAAACTCTTGGTATTATCCTCCCGATAGTAATAATAGTTTCCCTGGTACACTGTATTTTCTCAAAGGTTCTAAATGTTTGCATTCTGCCACCTCTAGAATGGCAAATGGTCTGTCTTTAACTGGAACTACAAGAGTTGAAAGAAGCACACAACCATGAGGACACTGTAACCTATGAATGAGGTGCTGAGACAGGAAACTCAAAATGATGGTAACTGAAAATGATGCTAAGGCCCTAAGTTGTGGTCACACTTTCACCAAAGTGAGAACCTGACCAAAAAGGGGAAATTTTAAAAACAAAATTATGAGAAACCATTGTTTTAGACTAAGCTAATGCACTAGACCCCAACAGACGAAACCAAACTAAAATGAAGTTGGTCATGCTAACTAACTGTGCCTAGAGCAGATCAGGTTTTGTTTTTCTCCTGTAAACAGGATGTTCTAACATAAGGAGGTATCCTCTATTCAAGTCCTTGCTCCTACCTTTACAAAACTCACTGTTCTACTATTTTCCAGTGGGCTTAAAGACCAAATAAGTACACTTATGGTGTTGATACTGACATCAATGACAAGAGTTTTGTTCAATCTCTCAAAATTGAGAAAATGACCAAAAGAGGGGAATTGCTAAAGTGAACTACATATGGCCTGAGAAGGATCTCATACTTCTATATTTGAGTCCTTGTGGGTGAACGCAATCTAACTTACTTAATAGGTAGACAAAATTGAAAACCTAACTTAGGAGTAGCACCTGTAACAATAGCTGAGTCTTGGCCAATCCCAGCAGCCACATTTCAACCAGTCATACCCTGCTGAGTGTTTAAACTGTGTTCCAATAAGGCAAATGCCAACCTGTAACCAACCCAGCCATTCCTGTACCTCACTTCCAATTTCTGTACATCACTTTACTTTTTTTGTCTATAAATTTGTTCTGACCATGATGCACCCCTAGAGTCTCTGAATCTGCTGTGATTCTGGGGGATGTCTGATTCATAAATCGTTTATTGCTCAATTAAACTCCTTTAACTTTAATTCGGCTGAAGTTTTTCTTTTAACAAAAGAAATTAAAACATGAAAATTGGTGATATAATCTAAACACACTCATTTCCAATGTGTTTTCTTTATTGTTAACAAGTTGGTATGGCTCATTATCAGAGCCTATGGTACTAAAGAATAGAAAAACTTCCTGGAGAAATTGACAGTCTGATTAAAAAGATATCAGGAAGAACTCCTTGTTAAAAAAAATAGGGTATCTATTATTCAGTCTTAAAAGTAGAATACTTACTTCTTTGGTTGTGTGATTACTATTTATTGTACAAAATGCAAATTCTCTGAAAGAGTTGGCACTTTTAGGCATAGGGATAAATTTTTTTCTTTGTCTTTTTCATTTTTTTTCCTTACCACTGCCTTTGGACTCAGTCTGTGATCTAGTTCTTTGATAGTTGGTGACATGTCAAAAAAATGCCAAGACTTTTTGGGAATTTTCAGCTATAAGAATCATTGCTATGTTCAATTCAAACTGGGCTCCCACTGGTGAGCCTCTTATCAATCATATCCAAGGTAATACACCTTCAGCCTTTTTCTCCAAGGCTGCCCTTGTCCCTGCAGGCAGCCTTTTTTGACATGTACTTTCAACAACTTAAGTTTGATTTCCTTTGGCAATATCCATTTACCCAGGGTCAACTCAAGCTTTCTCTCTAACAAATAAAAAAATTCCTTGCCAACCTGCCACTAGAATTTCCTGAAAAACTAATTGGTAATTTATATGACTTTTTTTCCCACCATCCCTGCTGAAATGCAACCTACCGGAACTGGGAAGGTGATAACAAAATGCATGTGTTCGATCATATTTTTTTAGCATTTCTTCAGCATTATGTATTACCAGTAGTCGCCTTATGCTTTTATACCTTAATCCTTATATATCAAAGTTTCTTAGAGAACAAATGTGATACGAAAGATTATATTATTAACAAACATTGTATAAGTTGCATATGAGCCAATACTTCTTTCTCTTTCCATATATTCTTTATGATGCCCAAAATCTGTACAAATAGTACAGGACCAATGGAAATTAGCATCTAAAACCTGGAGTCCTTAAGACAGAAGAGTAGGTTTCAAAATTTAAACTTTTGATGATTTTATAAATGCACCAATATTCTTGAAAACTTCATATATTTTATGAAAACTTGGCATTATATTGATGATTATCATTAACACATACATTTCTATGTATAGCAGATATCTTGCTAAGATATGTATTTGAGTAACTTGGTTTGTAAATACCTTTTAAAAATGAATATCTTAAGAAGACAACACTATATATTAAAACAAAGAGACACAGTTTTATAATCTATGAATTATTCAGCCACCAGCTTGGTTGGCAGTCTTTCTCAAGTAACAGTATGGCTTCATATTTAGAGAAAGATTAATGACTGAAATCTATTAAAAACTATTGAAGTGTCTTTAAATAATTGTCCATTTGGAGGTACCACCATATTTCCAAAATGATTGAGTTTACAAGTTGGATTGACAATACAATACTTCTTATTTAAAACAACTATGTGATCTTATATTATGAAATAATTATTTTCTGTTTAAAAATATAAGTTAATTTCATTCGGGTAGAAAAACAGAATGAGAAGAAAGTACAAATATGTTTGAATGAATATATAAATGAATATATAGATAGATTCAAAGCTTTCTGAGGAATATAGTTAGATTTTAAAAAATATCAAATGTGCATATTTTCTGGAGTTGAATTGTAGCAAATGAATCATATAAAGCGGATCACACTCTAATCAAAATAACAATGTATGCACTTGGTCCTAAAGTAATTGTGTTTTTTGCCATTAGAAGTAATAGGAAAAACCATTTACTTTTGCACCAAACTAATAGCTGCTAGTACTTTTGTTAGTAATTTTAATTATTTACATTTTCCTCTTGATTTTTCTTCATGCTGGTCATATCATTTACTAAAGATATGTACTAGTTCAGTTAATGTTTCTTTAGGGGATAAAAAATAGAAAGTGGGTTTATAGTCAAATATTTGAACAAAATTAGTATTTTTTCGATATTCTTCCAGAAAATTACATGGATTCAAGCAATATTATATATGAAAGTAGGATATCCATAAATCAGTAAAAAAATTATTTTTCTTACCTGCTTTTTTGTCAGTAACTACATTTTTATTTTTCTAGTGTAGATCATTGCAGATGAAACATCACATCATTGACAAGAGTTTAAAGCTTTAACATTGTACCAGGGAAGAAAAACAGCATTTCAATCCTGGAAATGAAATAGTTCAATAATTTACAGAGTGCTAAAAATTTCTGTTATCAAACATTATATCATCAAAGTCAGTAAGTAAAAATATAAGTATAGTCCCTCCACTTCACTTAAAATACACATGAAAATGACCTGTGGTACACCTTTTAAATCTACTCTCTTTAAATATAATATTAAAAAAAGTCAACTTACTAACAAATTACAAAAAACATTTTCTCTCTCTATAGTTTAAAAATGTTTTATCTAATAATTGTATCATCTCAAACTTCCCATACTTTGACAACTACCATAGTCTTTCTTTTATTACATATATTTTGCCCATTCAACTGGAATTTACATTTTTTTATGAAGAGGTTCTTTTATAATGCACATTTTTTAAAAACAATTAATGGAAAATACATATAAAACAATTAAAACAAAAATAATATTGTAAGTAAATATACATAGTGATCAGTTTTCCCTTGTGTGTCAGGTTTGGAAACACTTTCATCAGTCTGAATAACATTAACATTCTTAATATTAATTAATTTTTCTACATATAATTGAATAACACAAGTTAGCAAAATTAAGCTTACTTTTATGAGGAAGATAAAGAAAAGCATATGACAAATAATCACTGGGTCGATTTCTCTGAGATTACATATAAAGACATCAATTTGAAAACTCATAACATTGACATTTAGAATTTGCAATATCACAGTCAAAACCAAATATTTACTAAACACAATCCATTTAAGAAACCAGGCCCAAATACTCAATAAGCCCACGAACAGCGAAGTCATAAGCACTGCCACAGATACAAGGCTAAAAGTAAAAGGCTAAGAATCTCAATCAAAAGGTAATTTAATCTTTAGCCACTCTTTGCTCTGAGTCTTAGCAATGCAAGGCCCACTCCAAAGGTAAAACTAGCGAGTAAAATTTCTACCGTTTTGGCTTTTTGTGGGGAACCTAGGTGTGGTGCCAGCCTTCAACTGGATCAATATCTCTTACCATATATAAAAATTAACTCAAGATGGACTGAAGAATTAAATGTAAGACCTAAAACTACAAAAATCCCAGAGAAAAAAATGAAACAAACTGTTCTGGACGTTGGCCTAGGCAAAAAATTTATGACTAAGTCCTCGATAGCAAATTCAAGAAAACAAAAAATATGCAGATAGGACCTAATTAAACTAAAAAGTTTCTGCACAGCAAAAGAAATAATCAGCAAACTACACAGATAATATTAGGATAACATTTTCTTTCACTGTGTGCATCCAGCAAGGGCTAATATTCAGAATCTACAAGGAACTCAAACAACTAAAGAAAAACACGAATAACCTTATTAAAAAGTGAATAAAGGACATGAACAAACATTTCTCAATAGAATACAAATAAATGGCCAATGAACATGAAAAAAAATTCTCCACATTACTAATCATTACAGACATGAAAATTTAAACCACAATAAGACGCCATCTCACACCACTCAGAATGTTCATTGTTAAAAACTCAATGTTGGCAAAAATGCTGAGAAAAAGGAACCCTCATACACTGTTGGTGGGATGGAACTTAATACAACCTCTTTGGAAAACAATATAGAGATTTCTCGAATAACTGAAAAGACAACTAGTGTTTGATCCAACAGTCCCATTACTGAATATCTACCCAAAGGGAAAGAAATCTTATGAAAAAAATGCCTGCACTCAAATATTTATCACAGTACTATTCACAATAGCAAAGTCATGGAATCAACCTGTGTTCATCAACAGATGATTGGACTTAGAAAAAATATGAAACATGAACACAAATGCACCATGGAATACTATGTAGCCCTAAAAGAGAAATCACGTCATTTGCAGCAACATGGATAGAGCTGGAGGCCATTTCTCTAAGTGAAATAACTCAGAAACAGAAAGTCAAATCCCTGCTTAGAAGTGGGAGCTTAACAATGGGTACACATCAACATACAGAAGGGTATAACAGACATTGAAGACTCCAAAAGGTGGAAGGGTGGAAGTGGGGGTGAGGGTTGAATAATTACCTATTGGGTACAATATTCACTATTTAGGTGATGGTTATATTAAAAGCCCAGACTTCACCACTACACAATGTGTCCATGTAACAAAACTACACTTGCACCTCCTAAATCTGTATATATATATATTTAAAGCCTCAAATGATTCCTTTAGCCTGATAGTCACATTCATGTATGGTCAGTTTCCTCCTCACTGAATATAGGCCTCACCTATGTAATTTATAATAGTACATTGTAAATATTATAGTGTGTGACTTCCAAGTTGAAAACATTCAAGACATTTTATTACTACTTTTATCTTGCTCCCTTTTGGAGCACTCACTCCTGTGGGCACAAAGACTACGATTTGTATATCCCAGCAGTCTATGGAACTACAGAACAATCCATATGTCAAGGGACCATGGCCTCTTTCCCACAGGAAGTACAGACTTGCCAGTCATGTGAGTGAACAATCCTGGAGCTGAATCTTCCAGCCCCATTAAGCCTTAAAATGACAGCATATCTTGCTAATACCTTGGCTATAAAACCTTGAGAAGTCCTGAGCAAGAACTAACCAACTAACTGCCTCCCAAATTTCTGAGCAATATAAATTGTGTGAGATGATAAACACTTTTTATTATTTAAGCCCCTATGTTTTGGAATAACTTTATACAGCAGAGAATATTAATACACTAAGTTATCTCTCATCTCACTTTCCCACACAATACATTATTTTTTCATTCTCCATCACATAACAAATAAGATAAGAATTGGGAGAATGCTAGTGAGTGGATGTGGATGGGGGAAGTCATTTATTGACTTCATTTATAAAACATTCTAGGCAATAAACATAGACATCAAGGTCCATGGCAGCTTTACATGATGAAAAATGAAAGTTACTGCACTTTATCAGTTATAATAGTGAGAATAGTGGGATAAATAAAAGGTTCTACCTCAGTTGAAGAGGAGCTCATCAGATGAATACCTATCAGACTCAATAAGTTGGAATGTATGTGATCTTCTTCAGTTATCCTTTGGGAAAAAGGACTTGATGGACAAGATCAAGGACCACCACACAACCTGTTTTTGGCAAAAATATGGATGAGACTAAATCCCTCCTAATCAAAGAAGAAAGAAAATAGGCCAAATAAAAATGCTGTGGACAACAAGCATTATAAACTTTCCCTGAAAATAAAATCTAACTTTTGTTCTACAGCTGGCAAAAAAAAAGTTTGCCAGCTGTAGAACAAAAGTTAGATTTCTTATACATTTACTCAAACAATACTAAATGCCATAAGACAGGTGAATACCATTCATGCTATTTTTGAAAAGATTACAGAGGGGTCAAGAATGTACACTCAGCCATAATGTATTCTTTAAGGAAAGTCAGAGAAATACATACATACTTTAGGGACTCAAATAATTCAGGTCACCTACTTGAAATCAATACATAAATACATACACTAGTAAAGTGAGCAAGTAAAAAATGCGAGAACTGAAAGGCTGTAATGTAAAAGTTCAAGAAATGAGCATTATAATCACAGACATAAATGTGAGTTAAAATTATTTTTAGAACTGGAGAAACAAAAATGATGATACATGATAAACAACCGTTCCTTGAAGAAACAATATGCAGTGAAAATCACATTTTAAAAATCTGTCTTTAAATCACAAGATTATATTATTGAACTCAATCAACATGGAAAATTCAGTGGTAGAAAGAAAAATGGTATAATTTTTTGAAGTCCACATGAGCATCTATCACTGTCATAAAAACAACAAACGAGACAGTGAGGAAATGAGAAAACAATGGTTAAATTGATTAATAAAATGTTTGTTCTGTATTGTCTATGTGGGAAGATAATTTCTTATACTTAATATATGTTTTCTAAGCTAATTTCAGAGAGTAAGTTCCTCTTGTTTACCAACACCCATTGTTTGACTTTTCAGTGCCAATTTGCTATTAAATGTTTGTACATTGAATATAAATTTTTGCTAATCCTCCTCTTTGGAAGGTTGTGCCACAGGGTACTTATAATACCAATTGTCTCCAATCACTAAGTGTACATGTATGTATGAAGATAAGCCCCAAATTTCAAATTCCCAAAGTAGATTAAATCACTTATTAAAAATTGGCTTTGGAGTTAATTTGTAATGTGATGGCTATCAAATTGATGAGCAGTCTCTTTTAGGAATAAATTGACATATTGCCTGTTCCCCAAATCTTCTTCTTCTGTTTAAAATTCCCTGGGTGAAATAATGCCTGTCAACAATTCTCCAGATCAGTTTGAATTGTGAATATTCTTTTTCTAGTGATTTATTCTTTTGTATTAAAAATAAAAATATTCTTCCAGATACTAATACTTTAAATCTAGGCTATGAGTCATTTACACCTTAATGTTATATTGCTGAAAAAACTCAACGCTCTCCCAATTGATGGCTGAGATTGTTATTAATACTTTGGAAGAATGGGCATTTTCACTAAATAGGACTTGGGAAAAACACTATGAAACACACAGAGTGAATGTGGAAGTGAAAGCACTATTGGTGCCAATAAACAGCCAAATAATAGTAAGAACACAATGAAACTGTGAAACTGTGTTTTCATTTTGTTTTACTTTTTTTGCCAGACTGGAAGCATCTCAGCATTATGAATTGGTGTATTTCTAGCAAAGAGCACAGTTGTGGCACACTGTACTTAACAGGTACCAAGGACATATTTTGTTTCCATAGCTGCAAATTATTGAAACATAATTCTTTGAAGAGAAAAGAAGCATAGAGAAATGATCTATGAAATGGTCAAAGAAATTCCCTTTATACCTCTTTATTTTGTCATTTTTGTAAGTTGGGATACATTGAACATAAGCCTTGGAGGGTGATTACTTATACAAGTATAGACAGACTTTGCATTTCCTCTAGAGCTTCACTTTGGCACTCACCACTAAAATTTATTTCATGTTAAAAGTGTATTCAGAAGATTTTTAAATAGTTGTATTTAGCAATCACAATGTTATGTAACATTTATTTGAGTAAATTTTTATGACAGATTTATTAAGAGTGTGACTATAAGCAAGAACAATTTCAGCGACAGATATAGTCACGCTGTATGAGAAATTAGTTTAAAAAGAACTACCTGTGCAATATTTTCTTCAGGTTTTTATTCCTGAATATCTCTTTTCAATATCTTCTTGATATTTTTACTTTATACATCATTGATCTAATGTTGCTCATGAAGCAAGCTATCACATTTTTAGTTTGGATGAGTTTATGAGATGCAAACTTGTTGAAAGCAAAGCTGAAGACTTGTACTGACACTTCATTATTCTACCAACAAATAATTCTACTTAAATTATTTTTATAAAAAAGAAGTCTGAGGCACAGTTGTTATAGGCAGGAGAATAATAACTTGAAAGTAGCATACATGTCTCAAATTTTGTTTATATATATTTATGACATGTAGTTATATGCATTTTATATTAATTATTGAATATATATAAATATATAAACTCTTTGAAGGCCATTTAGTCCAGATTTCTCAAACTGCACATAGAACAGCCTAAGTAGATGCATGTGGTTATGGTTCTGTTTCAATCTCTATTTTTAGAAAAAAATAAATTATATAATCTAAAGAATTAATTAGAGTAAATCGGTGGTTATTGATTAGTTTACTTATCCCCTTGGTATATTAATCACTAACAGCTTTGGTGGTTTTAATCATAATGTGGTTTTTAAGTATCTTTATTTATAGTCATGTGTTATGTATTAAAGACATTTTTTAAAACAGGAAGCTTAAACAAAACTAAACTGAATAATAAAATTGATTATAGACTTCCGCATTCTGTTAGGATTTAATAAGTCATTACTATAGCAACACTGCCACTAAAAAAGCTTAAAAGCAAACAAACTATATGGCTTCTGAGTATGCAGGAGTTTATAGCATAGAACTTGGCATACTGACTTAAAAATCTAGAACTTTGAACAGTGTATATACACAACTGTTTTTAGGCATTGAAACAATAAGCAGTGTGAAACTGTGGTCCCTGAGAGAAGGAAAACAAATTAGATAATTCTAGTAATCCTTCTGGTTTTTGGTCAGGAGAAAAATGGTGGACCATGAAAAATAGGTGGGAACACAATGGAGATTGTTCTGGGTTAGGAAGACAGAGGAAAAGGCTGCTTAAATTTATGAGGCAGAGTACTGAAAACAAGTGAATTACACAAAAAACAAACAACAATAAAAAAGAATTCTTCAGATATCTACACACATGCTCTCTTGACTCTTTTCTAAATGTTAATATGTACATGTGTTAGGTGAAATTATATGAATGAGTAAAGACCAACTGCCAGGAAAGTACAGATTGAAGAATTCTTGGAACACACACAGAGCCTAGAGATGCTCAAATTCCATTTAACCAGAGAGATCTTGATAACCAGTGAGTGATCATTTGCGTGTCCAGGAAGGTCAATCTTAGAATTAAGTATAAATTAGCATTGGTATATATTAGACCCACCATAATAAAAAATAAAGCAAGCCTCAAGTAATCAATTTATCTGGAAGTAACTTAATTTTTTGCCAAAACAAATTTCAAATTCCTGAAAGGCAGACAACAAAATCTACATGCTCTATCAACATAATATGCCATGTTAGTATGCAATAAAACAAACTAGACGTGAAAAACAAGCCACAAGAGAGTTGACAAATATCTTTAAAGGACAGAAATGAGAAAATAACCGAGGATTATATACTTATCACAAATATCTTTGAAAAACTAAATTTTAATTAAAATATTTAAGAAAAACCAAAGATGAGAAAATCATTGCCAGCAGATATTTTCAATAATAAATGGCATAGGAAGTTCTTCAAATTAAAGATAAATGATACCAGAAGCAAACAATGATTTCATAAATTAATGGAGAGTGCCATAATTAATAAATATGTTGGCAGAGATTAAAACTGTTTCTTCACTTTTAATGCTTTCAAAAAACAATGGACTGTTTTATATATATATATGTATATATATACACACACACACATACACACACAAATATATATATACACATATATATACACATATGTATGTAACAGATATATATATATATAATTTGGGGCTAACGCATATGTAAAAGTAAAATACGTTACAAAAAAGTATCAAAAATATAAAAGAAAATGTGAATTTCTGTTTTTTATACAAAAAGTGGTTTCATATTATTTTAAAGTAGATGTGGTAAGTTAAAAATATTTATTGTGCTGGGCGCAGTGGCTCACTCCTGTAATCCCAGCACTTTGGGAGGCTGAGGCAGGTGGATCACGAGGTCAGGATATCAAGACCATCCCGGCTAACATGGTGAAACCTCGTTTCTATTAAAAATATAGAAAATTAGCCAGGCGTGGTGGCAGGCGCCTGTAGTCCCAGCTACTCGGGAGGCTGAGGCAGGAGAATGTCGTGAACCTGGGAGGTGGAGCTTGCAGTGAGCCAAGATCGCGCCACTGCACTCCAGCCTGGGCAACAGAGCGAGACTCCATCTCAAAAATAAAATAAAATAAAATAAATATCATATATATATATATATATATATATAGACGACTTCAGAACAGCAAGACACAAACTTGCATACTCACAAATTAGAGTTTTAGCTAATTTAAAAATGGAGATTAAGTGGAATTTCTTAAAATAACCAATAAACAGAAAACAAAGAGATAAAAGAAACACCAAATGAGTAAAATAGAAAACAAATGTGATGTTAGAATTATCCCAACTAAACTAAAAATTATGTAAAATATAAATGGCCAAAACATGCTAATTAAAAGGTAGATGTTGTATGATAAAATGTAAGAAAAAATACCTAACTAAATTGTGTCTAAAGGAAATACATATTTCCTGTGAAGACAGATGTAGCAGAGATATATGAGGAAAAAAAGATATATCATCCAAACAGTAATGTTAAGAAAGCTAATGTACATGTACTTAATTCAGACCTTCAAAATAAATGAAACAACAACAAAAAGAAAGACAAATCTGAAAAGCACAAATAGATTTAAAATAATATTTGGAGATTTTAACTTTCTTAGCTCAAAAATTTCTAGAATAGGCAGAAGAAAATGAGGAAGAGTAGAGAAAACTTAAAACCTTCAACCTACTTACCTAGTTGACAACCAATATCCTCATTTTATATTGATAAGTTTGCCATCACTAAGTTCCTCTGGCATCATGGTGTCAAAGTCAATATCCCCCCAGTCTGCTATTTCTTTTATTTCTGTTGAATTTCAGTTTCACTTTCAACATTGCCATTTTTGTTTATTTGTTGTACTTTTACATCTACTGGTCAATTCCACCTTTGATTTTTCACTTTTCAAAATCTCACATAAGTGTATCACTGAAAGATAAAGAGGCAATATCACTCCATGATTTCATTGGCATGCATTAACTGAGTAACGTGAAGTGAACAATCAGCAGCAGACTGAAAAAAGTGACATGACTGGTCACTGATTATAATGCACATCTGTTGCTTATGTTGTGATTTGATGATCTAGAGGTGAAATTTGAACCATATTTTGGAGGCACTGGTGTCATATAACTAAACCCACAGTAACAGATATCCAGGCTTATCATAAGCTTGAAAATCAAGTTAATTTCTGCAAATATTTAGCAAACTATATCTTAAATACAAAAAGAATAAAAAAGAAATTGTAAAGTTTACTAAGTAGTTTTATTTTTGAAATAATTTTGAAGATGATATTTTTAAATCTATCTTATATATAAGTTTAAATAAATATGTTGATGTTATTAGAAACAGGAAATCAATATGAGCAAAAATAAATATATAATAAATTACAAAATCCAATAAATTAGGAAAATCTTTGTTGCAAATATAAGTATATAAAACAATATGATTCATAATTTCAAAATATAATCCCTAGCTATCTCCACTGAAAAGACCTAGAAGCAATGCCATATCCAGCACCAAAATCTTAGTTACTAAATACAGTTTTCCAATAAAAGAAGCCAGGGATCTTTAAAAAAAAATGTTAGCCGTAGATCTAAGCCAGTGAAAATACAAGGTAAGCCCATAATGTCATTGGCCAGAAAGCAAGGGAATGCTCGAAGACCAAATGATGCATGTTGAAAGGACAGAAGGAAAGCTGGAAGGAAAGCTAACTAAATGCAGGCAAACTGGATTACTGTCAAATTCTGTGGATAAACAGTGTTTTCGGAAAGTTCCAAAATATTACTCCCTTGTTTATTTGCAATTTTCAAAAACAAAACCAAACTTTATCTAGTAGAAATGAAAACTTTAACCAAGTGAGACAGAGAGAGTTTTCACACAGGTACTGATGACTGAGCCTTCTCAGGGTAAATGCCATTAAAGAGTAAAGCCTGGTAGCTTTACAGGCTTCATTATCTGCCCTACATGCTGTTAGGAAAAAGCTGAGTGTTGGGAAAAAAGCTGAGGCAGGGCTTGCATGCCTGACATAATGTAAAAGAGTCTTGGAACATGTCCAGGGTCCAGGGTCTAAAGCCCCTCAAGGCCTTTGGAACACCAAGCTCTCTGCCAAAGGGCGGAAGGCTGCCCTGCTGCACCACAATCTAAGCCCAGGGCATAAAACCCCTCGTGGCTTGGATGGAATCCAGGGCTCAGGGCATAAAACCACTCATGGCCTCTGGAATGTGTCTAGACTTGATAGCTCCTTGCTTCTGGCACTCCCAGGCTTGTGGATTGATTGTGTCTTAAACCAGAAGAACATGTGTCCCATTATCTCAAGTAGCAGAACATGTTCCATATGCTTCAAAGAAAATGCTAAACTGTCACAGCTGTAGATCACGCACTTGATGCACCGCTTTCTTTCAACCCCCACATCCTTACCACCTGCTTCTTTGTTTGATCACCAAAAAATAGTGTGGGCTTCCAGAGCTCTGGGCCTTTGCAGCCTCCATACTAGCGTTGGCCCCCGGTCCCACTTTACACCTTAACTTGTCTTATCTCATTCCTTTGACTCTGCCGGACTTCGTAGCCCCCACGGTCTGGTGTTGGGTCTGATCACCCCAACACATGCTTTGTAAATTTTTCTACCAGTATTTTATTTTCAATTTTTATTTTACATTCAGGAGGTACGTATGCAGTTTTGTTACATGGGTATATTGCATGATGCTGAGTTTTGGAGTATAGATGATCCAGTCACCCAGGTAGCAAGCATAGTACCCAATAGGTAGTTTTTCAGCTCATTCCCTTCTCCCTCCCTCTCCCATCTAGTAATCTGCCCACTGTCTATTGTTCCCATCTTTATGTCCATGTGTGCTCAATGTTTGGTTCCCACTGATAAGTGACAACATGCAGTATTTGGTTTTCTGTTTCTGCAGTAATTTGCTGAGGATAATGGCCTCCAGCTGCACCCATGTTGCTGCAAATAACATAATTTTGTTCTTTTTATGGATATGTAGTATTCCAAGGTGTACATGTACCACATTTTTATCCAATCCACAGTTGACGGGTAGCTAGGTTGATTCCATGGCTTCCTATTGTGAATAACACTGCAATGAACGTACACATGCATATGTCTTGTTGGTAGAATGATTTATTTCTCTCTTTGTGTATGTACCTAGTAATGGAATTGCTAGGTGGAATGGTAGCTCTGTACTAAGTTATTTGAGAGATCAGCAAACTGCTGTCCATGATGGCTGAACCAATTTACATTCCCACCAACAGTGTATAAGGCTTTCCTTTTCTCCACAACCTCACCAGCATCTGTTATTTTTTAACATTTTAACAGCAGCCATCTGAGTGATATGAGATGATATCTCACTGTCATTTTGATTTGCATTTCTCTGATAATTAATGATAATGTTTTCTCTCAGTTCCTGACGTGACATGCTCCTTCACATCTCAGTGATATTGACCTTTGTGTTACATTTTCTGGGACATCTCTTCTCTCTTGCTTCCACTCCTAAATTCACCTTCTCACTCAGGTCACATACCCCCAAGCTAGTTAATTTATTTTAATCTTTTAAGACAACAAAATTAAACTTCCTCAAATAAGTTTTCTTATAGGTCAGGTCAGGGCATTTTGTCATATGCTCTAGTCATATCCTTCTTCTTTCTGATTATTATCACAATTTTGATTACGTATCTTAATGTCCCCTCAAAGTGTTCAACATTCATTTTTGCACTAGCATATATGCTCTAAAAGGGAAGACAGCATGTATATTTTGTTTATTACTCTGTCCTCACATAATAGAACAGTCACATATACATAGAAGGTACTCAAAAATATTTTAATGGACTAATATAGGGACAAGTATAGGTAAAAATTTAATTTAAAAAATAACTTTTCCTTCCCATGTTTCACCTTATATAATTAATAAATATGCAAGTTGTCTTCAATTTTAAACCAAAAAATTTTCTAACATTTAACTAACAGCTCTCCTTTTCTTTTGTAGAGTCATTGAGAGTAATACTGTGAAGTTCAGGATAGAGAAGAGATCAATTATAAATCCCCAAATGAGGCAAGCATCCAATACAGGATTATTCCAACTGGTAAAATTCTGATGTGTTTGTTTATCTTCTTAATACCTTTAAACATACAGTGTGAAGGTTTGTTGATTGTATTGATCATAGAGCATCCTGTGGAGTTTTGTGTTACTCCCTTCCAAATAATAGGCTCACCTTGAAAATGTAAAGGTCAAAACAAGGTAAAGGTTACAACTTCTTGACTGACAAGCATTTATTTCTTTCATGAGATTAAGATTCTTCTAAGTCATTGTCACTGATTTTCTTCTGCCAAAAGCTATATATCTTTCCCAAAAAACCTATAGCAATTAAATGAAAATAAAGAAGAGAAATAAATCAAATCAAACCATAAGAGAATTGTCAAGGTAATCGCCTTCCTTTGATAGAATATTGTATCCTATCTTATATTTGTTCTAAGGATTTTTCCCACCAGATGTTCATATTTTCTAACATCCAAAATGCAATTATTAAACTGGCTTCTGCAAAGTGACATACAATTGTATAAGAAAATCTTTTAAACATTGATTACGTCAGTTTCCTCTCAAAGAATTTCTAGAATGTGATTGTGATGTATTTTTAGATATCATTTGGAAGATTTAGAGTTGCTAATCAATGAGTATAAAGTTGCAGTTTTACATGCATAAGCTCTAGAGACCTAATGTATGACATTAGACTTGTAGTTAAGAAGAGGTAATGTACACTTAAAAATCTGTTAAAAGGGTAGATCTCATGTTAAGTGTTCTTAACACAATTAAATAAAAATAATAATAAAAGAACTTGCATTGGATTTGCTCAGGGAAACCTAACTAAATATCTCTTTTATTTATATATTGAAGTTGAAATTAAAAATATATAAATAAATAAAACAAAATAAACATAAACAATAAAAACCAGACATGGAAGCTAATTTTAATCATAGATCTACATAGGGGTACAACACTATTTATTGTTTGTTTTAGTTTTTGTTTTTGTTTTCTAAGATCTGTCATAAAAGTCTACACATTCTAATTCCCAATCTAAATAGAATGATATATTCATATGACAGGTTTCTGTGTTCAGAGCAGGCAAGAATGTGGCTAACTTCCAAAATGAATTATACATCAATATTATCTTGATGACTGTCATTATGTGGAACATATGCTTATATGATTACAAAGTTGGAAATGTAATTTAAATTAAAAGTACCTATAATAATATGCAGCTTATTGTATTACAAAGGGGCTGATTTAAGTGGTTACTTAAAAGATACATAAACATTTTAAAAACAAATATTTTAAAATAGTGTCTAATTTAGAAATTCACTGTACTTACTGAAGTAGAATCTGACATTAAAATAAATTAAATTGTACATTAGCCAAGGTAATTGTCTTTCAGACAAAGGTGGCTAAAGGTTTAAAGAATAAAACAATCAAACATTTTAAAATTTTTTCTATACCCTTGTGTATGCAATTTGGCAGAATAGTCCTTTTTTTCTCTCCGAACTGGAAAATGTTGAGATTTGCCTTTAGAGACTTATTTAAAGTTAAAATATTTGTGCTGACTAAATTATACAAAGAATGATCTGTCATTCTTTAATGTTGCAACAATGTCAACAAATTTTTTTACTATAAATTTAAGGCTATGTTATGTGAAACTGTATTAAAATTAACCCAGTAACTTTATATGAGTCACCCTCATTTCCGCATAATGTTACCAGGCCTAATTTGATCCTACTTGTATTCATTCATTCATTTATTCATTCATTCTTCCTGCACAGCAAATTTCTTTCAGAACTCCTCAAAACAGCCTATGTAGGTGTCTAATCTAAATTCAAAGTTTGAATTTAATTAAATTTGAACAAAAATTTACATTAACAAATAGTGGCAAATGTTATGCTAATCTTCATTTACAAATTTCTCCATTAAATTATAGATAAGCTGTTTTCCATTGAGAAACAGGAAAATTTCAGATTCCCAGATGATCAGCTGAACCCATGCATTTAACCCTATTATTTGCTAATAGCTCATTAAAAAATACACACACACACACACACACACACATACACACATTGTTCTTTTTATATATACACATTGTAGATGGTTAGATAGGTAGATAAATGGATGCAGAGAGAGAGAGAGAGAAAGAGAGAGAGAGAGAAAGAGAGAGAGAGATAGACAGATAGATAAAACAAATTCTACTGCCCTGCCATAAGCCATATGGTGGTAAATAACTATAATCAGATAGACATATGTTAGGATACCAGCTCTACCAAATAAGAGCCATGCCATCTGGAACAAGATGACTAATTTCTGTAGCCCAAGCTTCCCAAACTATAAATATAGTATTAAAGTACCTTCCTCATTGGGCTCTTGAGACTTTACATAGGCTATAGAAGCAAAAATAAAATAAAATACAGCATGGTACCTGGTGCATACTAATGAAACTCTGTATAGGCATGGGCAAAGACTTCATGTCTAAAACACCAAAAGCAATGGCAACAAAAGCCGAAATTTACAAATGGGATCTAATTAAACTAAAGAGCTTCTGCACAGCAAAAGAAACTATCATCAGCATGAACAGGCAACCTACAGAATGGAAGAAATTTTTGCAACCTATCCACCTGACAAAGGGCTAATATCCAGAATCTACTTAAGACTCTACAAAGAACTTAAACAAATTTACAAGAAAAAAACAACCCCATCAAAAAGTGGGCAAAGGATATGAATAGACATTTATCAAAAGAAGACATTTATGCAGCCAACAAACATATGAAAAAATGCTCATCATCACCACTCATTAAAGAAATGCAAACCAAAACCACAATGAGATACCATTTCACACCAGTTAGAATGGTGATCATTAAAAAGTCAGGAAACAATAGATGCTGGAGAGGATGTGGAGAAATAGGAACACTTTTACACTGTTGGTGGGAGTGTAAATTAGTTCAACCATTGTGGAAGACAGTGTGGTGATTCCTCAAGGATCTAGAACTAGAAATAACATTTGACCCAGCAATCCCATTACTGGGCATATACCCAAAGGATTATAAATCATTCTACTATAAAGACACATGCACACGTATGTTTATTGCAGCACAATAGCAAAGATTTGGAACCAACCCAAATGTCCATCAGTAATAGACTGGATAAAGAAAATGTGGCACATATACATGATGGAATACTATGCAGCCATAAAAAAGGATGAGTTCATGTCCCTTGCAGGGACATGGATGAAGCTAGAAACCATCATTCTCAGCAAACTATCACAAGAACAGAAAACCAAACATTGCATGTTCTCACTCATAAGTAGGAGTTGAACAATGAGGACACGTGAACATAGGGAGGGGAACATCACACACCAGGGCCTGTCAGGGGGTGGGGGACAAGGGGAGGGTAACATTAGGAGAAATACCTAATGTAGATGACACAAGAAGGGAAACTTTGAGAATGAACTGGGTAATTTTTCAGCTAAAACCCAGGACAACGTCTAATCTCACAGCAGCTGAATATGGCACAAAGATGTACCATGAAGCAATCTTATTTATCACATAATGTTCACTTAGTAAATTGGAGAAATTTCCTTTTTCAGCTCTGAATATAGTAAAAATTCATATATATAAAGAAGAGATTCCAAGCTGAGATAAAGCAAAGGCTTCCCTTTAAAACTCAGTTGACCCAAAACATTGAATACAATTTAAAATATCCTAATTAGAATTATCAAGATGTAAAAGAAAAGAATTAATGAGAAATTGAGTTCAAGAAACCAGAACATGGTATAGAGGTAGAGAAAAAAAAAAATCTCAGAACCATTTATGTAAAATTAAAACATCTACAGACAGACACACACACACATACACACACACATATATACACACACACAAAATTGCATATTGTCTCATATTTAGAGGCACTAAATTGTAGATGGAATATTACTTAAAAAGACATTAATTATAATTTTGCTCTTTGAATGTTTATAGTAAGAAGACCCAAAATAAATAAGTTTAAATGAAAATTATACTACATAGAAGACATTTCTAGAAATTTTTATGTGAACTAGAACTTGGATATTAAAAGAACGAGCTGGATAATCATTAATCCATTAGAAAAAATTCCTATGCTGAAATATGTCTTATTCAAGATTGAAATGTACATATAGATATACAGAAGACAAAGCTGAAATGTACATATAGATATACAGAAGACAATTCCTGGTAACATTTACATATTAAGGGATAACATTAAAATCAGATAGCTCCAAAGTAAAATTTGATAATCTACCAATACGAGATTCAGAATAGGTTAAGATTTTTTTTTATCAGCAAATCAAATGTTAGAGAACAATAAAACAATTCACAAGGTTTTGAGAGAAAAATGAATGGATGTTCTTGAACTGTTGTATAAATTATATCAAAATGTATCCAATTTTGAACGTGGAAAGGTTTAGAAATAAAGGTTTAGAAATAAAATTTATCAGTTACTCTGCTGTGTAACAAGACATTCTGCCATATTTACTGGCAAAACAATAGACAGTTTGTTGCTCATGAATCTATGTGGATCTGCTGGGTTGCCCTCTGGTATTTCCTAGGTTCCTTCCTGCGTCTATGGTTGTCTTCGGGTGGGCTAAGCATTTCTGCTGTTCTTGGTAAGGTATGATATTATTTCTGGAACTGGAGCTAGTAGAAACTGAGCTGAATAGGTTCAGTTCCACATTGTCTCGCAGGCTCCAGAAAGTTAAACCAGCCTTGTTCATAAGGCAAATGCAGAGGTTACAAGTGAGAGAATGGAAGCAGACAATGTCCCTTAAGGCTTATTTTTAGAACTGGCATAACTCACATCTAAAGCAATATATTACCAAACAGGTCACAAGGACAGCCCAGATTCAGTAGTTAGGGAAAAAACAACACTCTTGTAAAGTGCAGAGATAAAAGAAAGGGGTAAAGAATTGTAGCTATTTTAGTATCTACCAAATAATATTGAAATAAAAATTTAAAATACTGCAGAAATTGAAAAAAAATTCTTGAAAGAACAAATAATAATTTGAAAGGACCAACTCATTATGTATATTGGATTTTGATGATTTGTTTATGTGTCACTGTGGCTAGGCTGTGGTATCCAGGTTTTGGTCAAATGTTATTCTAGATGCTTCTAAGAAAGTATTTTTTAGATGAGATTAATATTTAAATCAGTAGAAGTTGAGTAAAGTAGATTACCCTTCATATGGTGGGTAGGCCTTATCCAAACATTTGAAGGGCTTAATAGAAAAAGACTGATCTCCCTAGAAGACAGTATTATGGCAGCAGGCTTTTTTGGACTTGAATTGAAACTCTGCCCTGGGTATCCAGCCTGCTGGCTTACCCTAAAGATTTTGATCTTGCTAAGTCTCCATAATTGCATGAGCCAATTTCTATAATTTCCTTCTCTCTAATGTATGACAGATTTTAAGAAAGCTCAATACTCATTTAAAATACATATATATAATATTTTTATATATTATATAGATACGGGAGAGAGAGAGAAAGGGAATGAGAGAGAGAGGTATATCCTGTTATATCTGTTTTCTGGAAAACTAATATCCAGATTTTAAAAATATTTACTTTATATATTCTGGTTATTAATCCCTTGTCAGGTGGGTAATTTGCAAATATTTTCTCCCACTCTGTGTTAAAAAAAAATTTACAATTTAGTGTTGACACATTATGCAATTTTATTTTATTATTCTCATTTAAAATTAGAAATTTTATTTTATGTGTAGTTTTATAATTAGTTTTTTCTATGAATTCTTAAGATCATGTCTTATCCATATATGTCAACATAAGCAATACCACATATCTACTCTGATTATTATTTGTGAATTCATAACATAAACACTATTTGATAATTTTGTGTTTTTCCTTTTATGTTACATATTTTTTCTTTCATTTTTGGTTTACATCTAATAATTTTACATATTTATGACATCCATGTGATGTTGTGATATATACAAATACGATATGTAATAATCAAATCAGAGTGATTAGCATATTTATCACCTTAAATAGTTATCATTTATTTGTGTTGGTAAGATTCAAAGTCCTCTCGTCTAGCTATTGAAAATAGACAATAAATTATTGTTCATTATATTAATATTACAGTACTACGGAACACTAGAATTTATTCCTCCTATCTAGCTATAATTTTGTTTTCATTAAGCAAACCCTTTCTAACCTCCCTTCTCCCTAACCTTCTTAGCCTCTAAGAACCACAATTATATTCTCTACTTCTATGAGTTCAACGTTTTTTAGCTCCCACATATGAGTGAGAATCTGTGGTATTTATTTTTCTGTGCCTGACTTATTTCACTTAACATAATGCCCTCCTGGGTCACTCATGTCGCCATGAATGGCAGGATTTTATTGTTTTATGAATAAATAGTATTCCATTGTGTATAATACTATTGTGGTATATATCACATTTTCTTTATACATTAATCTGTTGATGAACTTTAGGCAATGCTTCATGGCTTTTATCATTTTAGGTGAAAAGTGAACTGCTAACTTATGGTGATTACCTTGTAAATAAATGATTGCTTTAATTTCTTTCAATGTATTCTCTCTATCTAGCTGGCAACATTTCACTAGGATGTGTATGGGTGTTGATCTGCATTTTTTCTACTTGATGTTAACTGAACTTCTTGTACATGTAGATTAATTTTTTAAATCATATTTGGAAAGTTTAGCCCATTCGTTCTTCAAATATTTTTCTACTCTCCATCTCTGTCTTTTGCTCTCTCTCCTTATTTTTCCTCCCTTCCTTTCTTCTTGTACTCCAATATGTGTGTCTTGCTGCCCTTAATGATATTACACATTTCTTTGAGGGTCTATTCACTTTTCTTCATTCTTTTTTCTCTGTGTTCTTCAGATTACATAATGTCTACCAATCTTGCCTCAAATTTATTGATTTATTTTTATTCTTGTTACCATATACTTTTAAGGTCTTCTAGTGAATCCTTCTATTCAGTTATTGTACTTTTTAACCTAGAATTTCAATTAGGCCTTGTTTATTATTTCTATATCTTTATTAATATTATATATTTCATATGTTTTTGTACATATATGGACATAAATGAATGTATAATTGCTTAACTGTGTTGTGAAAGAATTCACAGAAAGTGATGTACAATGGAATGTACATTTTCTTTATTCATTTTTGGACACTTTGGTTGATTCCATATCTTTGCTATTGTAAATACTGTTTCAATAAATATGGGAGTGGTATCCCTTTGATATACTGATTTATTTTTCTTTGGATAAATACCCAGTAGCGGGATTGCTGGATCTCGTGGTAGTTATATTTTAGTTTTTGGAAAATTCTATAAACTGTTTTCCATAGTGGCTGTACTCATTTACATTCCTTTTAATAGTGTATAAAAGTTCTCCTTTCTCCAAATCCTCAGGAACAACTGCTGTTTTTTGCCTTTAAAAAAAAAACATATTTTTTTTTCTGGGTACATAATAGGTGTGTATATTTATGGGATATAAAGGATATTTTGATATAGGCATACAATGTGTAATAATTGTACCAGGGTAAATGGGGTATCCATCACCTCAAGAATTTATCCTTTGTATTACAAACAATCCAATATACTTTTAGTTATTTAAAAGTATACAATAAATTATTATTGACTATAGTCACCCTTTTATGCTGTCAAATACTAGATCTTAGTCATTCTTTTTGTTACCATTAACCATCCACACTTCCCTCCCACCTCCTACCTACCCTTCACAGCCTCTAGTAATCATCATTTTACTCTATATCTTCATGAGTTTGATTATCTTAATTTTTAGCTCCCACAAATAAGTGAGAACATGTGGTTTATCTTTCTGTGCCTGACATTTTTAAGTTAACATAATTACCTCCAGTTCCAACCATGTTGTTGCAAATGACAGGATCTCATTGTTTTATGACTGAATAGGATTCCATTGCATATATGTACATCTTCTTTATCTTTTCATCTGTTGATGTGCACTTGGGTTGCTTCCAATCTTCAATATTGTACATAATGCTGCAAAAAAATGTGGAAGTGCAGGAATCTCTTTGATATACTGGTTTCCTTTCTTTTGGGTATATACCTAGCAGTGGGATTGCTGGATAGTATGGTAGTTCTATTTTTGAGGAACTTCCAAACTGTTCTTCATAGTAGTTGCACAAATATACATTTCCCCCAGCAGTGTATGAGGGTTGACTTTTCTCCATATCCTTCTAGCATTTCTTATTGTATGTCATTTGGATAAAAGTCATTTTAACTGGGGTGAGATGATATCTTATTGTAGTTTTGATTTGCATTTATCTGATGATCAGTGGTGTTGAGCATATTTTTATATATGTTTTCCACTTGTGCGTCATCTTTTGAAACACATCTAATCAGAACTTTTGCCCATTTTTAAATTAGATGATTAGATTTTTTTCTTACAGAGTTGTTTGAGCTCCTTATATATCTTTGTTATTAATTCTTTGTTGGATAGATAATTGTAAATACTTACTCCCATTCTTTGGATTGTCTTTTCACTGTGTTGATTGTTTCCTTTGCTGTGCAGAAGCTTTTTAACTTGATGTGACTCCATGTGCCCATTTTTGCTTTGGTTTCCTGTGCTTGCGGGTATTACTCAAGAAATTTTTTGCCCAGACCAATGTCCTAGGGGAATTTTCTCAATGTTTTCTTGTAGTATTTTAACAGTTTGAGGTCTTAGAATTAAGACTTTAGTTCATTTTGATTTGATTTTTGTATATGGTGAGAGAGAGTGGTCTAGTTTCATTCTTCTGCATGTGGATATCCAGTTTTCCCAGCAACATTTATTGAAGAGACTCCTTTCCTCAGTGTATGTTTTTGACATCTTTGTCCAAAATGAGTTCCCTGTAGACGCCTATAGATGTATGAATTTGTCTCTGGATTCTCTATTCTGTTCCAGTGGTCTATATGTCTATTTTTATGCTAGTACCATGCTGTTTTGTTTGCTGTAGCTCTGTAATAGAATTTGAAGCCAGATAATGTGATTTATCTAGTTTTTTTAGTTGTTGTTGTTGTTCTTGCTCAGAATATATTTAACTGTCAGGGGTCTTTTGTGGTTCCATATAAATGTTAGGAAGGTTTTTTCTATTTGTTTGAAGAATTTTATGATAGGGATTGAAATGAATCTTTAGGTTCCTTTGGGTAAAATGCAAATTTTAACAACATTAAATCTTTCAAACCATGAAAATGAATTATATTTCTATTTTTGTATGTCCTCTTTAATTTCTTTCATGAACATCTTAAATAGCTTTTATTGTCAAGATCTTTCACTTCCTTGGTTAAGTTCATCTATAGGTATTTAATTTTATTTGTGGCTATCATAAAATGGGATTATTTCTTGATTTCTTTTTCAGATGGTTCACTGTTGGCATATAGAAATGCTGCTGATGTTTGTATGTTGATTTTGTATCCTGCAACTTTCCTGAATTTATTTATCAGTTCTAACAGTTGTTTTGGTGGAGTCTTTAGTTTTTTCTTAATATAATATTATCTGCAAACAAGGATAATTTGACTTCTTCCTTTTCAATTTGGATGCCTTTTCTTTCTTTTGTCTGATTGCTTTTGCTAACACTTCCAGTACTATGTTAAGTAAGAATGGCAAAAGTGGGCATCCTGTTGTGTTCCAGATCTTAGAGGAAAGGCTTTAAGTTTTTCTACATTCACTATAATATTAGCTATGGGTCTATCAAATATGACTTTTATTATGTTGAGGCATATTGTTTCTATACTCAGTTTCTTTGAGGGATTTTATCATGAAGGGATGTTGAATTTTATCAATTGCTTTTTCGGCATCAATTGAAATGATCGTATGTTTTTTGTCCTTCATTCTATTGATATATTACATTGATTGATTCACATATGTTGAACCATCCTTGCATCCCTGGGATAAATTCCAGTTGGTTGTGATGAATAATATTTTTAATGTGTTGTTGAATTCTGTTTGCTAATACTTTGTTGGGAATTTTTGCACAAATATTTATCAGATATTGCCTTGTAGCTTTCTTTTTTTGACGGGTCTTTGTCTGGTTTTGCTATCAGCATAACACTGGCCTTGTAGAATGAGTTTGGAAGTACTCCCTCTTCCTCTATTTTTCAGAACACTTTTAGTAGGATTGGTATGAGTTTTTATTTATATGTGGTAGAATTAAGCAGCAAAGCCCTCAGGCCCTGATCTTTTATTTGCAGGGAGGCATTTTATTATGGCTTCAATCCCATTATTTGTCAGTCTGTTCAAGTTTTAGATTCCTTCCAGTTTCATCTTGGTAGGTTGTATTTGTCTAGAAATTTGTCTATTTCTTCTAAGTTTGTCAATTTATTGACATATATTTTCTCATAGTAGCCTCTAATGATCCTTTGAATTTCTGTGCCATTGGTTGTGATGTCTCCTTTCTCATCTCTGATTTTATTGTTTTGGGTCTTCTGTCTTTTATTCTAGTCTTCCTCTGTCTTATCTTTAAGGCCAACAACTCTTAGATTTGCCCGTTTGAGGCTATTTTCTAGATCTTGTAGGCATGCTTTATTCTTTTTTCTTCTTTATTCTTTTGTCTCTTCTGAATGTGTATTTTCGAATAGCCTGTTTTCAGGCTCACTAATTCTTTGTTCTGCTTTATCAATTCTGACATTAAGAGACTTGGATGCATTCTTCATTATGCCACTTGTGGTTTTCAACTCCAGAATTTCTGCTTGATTCTTTTTAATTTCTATTTTCCTTGGTAAATTTATCTCATAGAAATGTGAATTCTTTCCCTACGTCACCTTGAATTTCTTTGAGTTTCCTCAAAACAGCTATTTTGAATTATCTATCTAAAGGTCACATGTCTCTGTTTCTTCAGAGTTGGTCACTGCTACCTTATTTAGATCATTTGGTGAGCTCATGTTTTTCTGGATGGTCTTGATGCTTCTGGATATTCATTGGTGTCTGGGCATTGAAGAGTTATGTATTTATTGTAATCGTTGCAGCCTGAGCTTGTTTTTAACCGTCTTTCCTGGGGAAGTTTTCCATGTTTTCTAAGGGATTCAGGTGCTGTAATCTAAGTTTTTGGTCATTCCAGCCTTATGTGCATTATGGGAAATCCTAAGCCCAATAACACTGTCACTCTAGCAGACTCATAGAGATACCACTTCAGTGGTCTTGAATCAGATCCCAAAGAATGATCTGGATTATTGGGCAGAGACTTTTGTTTTCATTACTTACTTTTTCCCAAACAAATGGAATTTCTCTCTTTCTCTCTGTGCTGAGCTGCCTGGAACTAGGTGGAGTCCACAAGCACCCCTGTGGCCACCACCACCTGAGCTGTGCTGGGTCAGACCAAGGCGCTAGGGATGTACAATCAGCAGATAGTAAACCCAGCCAGTTTTGATTCCTTCCCTTCAGGGTGGCGAGTTTCCTTGGGCCCCAGGTGGCTCCAGGTATGTTGTTCCTGGAGTCAGAAAACTTAGTAATCCACTTGGTGCTCTATTCTACTGTGGCTGAGCTGGCACTGAAATCACAAGCAAAGTCTATCCTAATTTTCCTTTCCTTTCCCCAGGCGGAGGAGTTTCTCCCCCTGTGCTCCACTACCATAGGCCCATAGGGTGTACTGCCAGCGCACTGCTGATGTTCACTGAAGACCCAAGGGCTCTTCAGTCAGCTTGTGGTGAATGCTTCCAGGCTCACTCTTCAGGGTAGTGGTCTCCCCTATGGCCCAGAGTAAGTCTAGAAATCCTATCCAAAATCCAAGGCCCTAGTACCTACTTGTTGTTCTTCCGCACTATGGCCAAGCTGGTACCTAAGCTGCAAGACAAGGTCCCCTTTACTTTTCTCTCTGCTTTTCTCAAGGAGTCTCACCTCATAGCCTCCACAGGTGTGCTGGGTCACACCTGAAGCCACCGCATCCCAAAGTCTCGCCCAAGGCACATACCATGTAATAACTGGTTACTACTGCTGATTATTCAGGGCCCAAGGGCTCTTTAGTAAGCAGGTGTTCCTGTCAGTACTGGGTCCTTCCCTTCCAGCTAGCAGGTTCCTTTTTGGCCCTGGGTGTGTCTGGAATGTCATCTGGGAGCCAAAGCCTGGAATGGGGGCCTCATGAACCTGTCTGGTGTCCTATTCTACTGTGGCTGAGCTGATATTCAAGTTGCAAGACAAAGTCATTTTTACTCTTCCCTATCCTCTTCTCAATCAGAAGGAAAGAGTCTTGTTTGGACTTCTGAGCTATGCTGCCTGAGGTTAGGTGAGGAGTGTACAAACACTCCCCTGGCCACCCTGGCTGGTGTCTCACTAGATTGTATGCTCCCCAAGTCCACTGGCTTTGAGCTCGGCACAGCACCACTACATGCCTAGGAATTGCCTTCATTGTGGCCTAGACTGCCTTTCAAGTTTATTTAGAACCTCAGAGCACTTAAGCCCAAGTTCCAACCAGAGGGATGGGTGATTCCCTTATAACTTGGACAAAATCCACAGAGCAAACTGTATTGGCTTTCTGTGGCTGATGTAAAAATGGCCGGAAATGCAGCAGCTTAAAACAATATATATGTACAATATATGTACAATATAAATATATATACAACATAGATATAAATATATTATCATAGAGTTCTGTAGGTTTGAAATGTAATACGAGCCTTACTGGATTAAAATCAAGGCACCAGCTGGCTACAATCTCTTCTGGAGGCTCTAGAGGAAAATCTTTTCCCGTTTTTTAAACAAAAAAACTTCTACTGACTGCTTGCAGTGAAGAAGAGTAAATAATTGTTCATCCTCAAAGTCAGCAATGCTGCACATGTCCGGCCATTATTCCACAGTCACATTTTCTGACCATACCAGAAAACATCTTCCATTTTAAAGTCCTATGTAATTAGATTGTTCCCAGTGGACAATCTGGTATAATCTCTTCATTTCAAGGTGCCTAGTATAATCATTTATGCAAAGTCTTTTTTCTTGTAAAGTAACATGTTCAGGAATTAGGATAAGAAAATCTTGAAGTGGAGGCATAATTCTGCTTATTAAGCAAAAATTATTGTATGCCTGATTTTTATGTCAGTGTCTAATCATTGAAGAACACGTAAAAAATAAAGAACTGAAATTAGAGATGACTTATAAGTTTATGTCTCTTGTAGAAGATCAGCCTTATGGAGAAAGTAATGATAAATTGGATGGGGTAATAGAGCTCTGAGGAACTGTCACAAGAATGCCAGTATGAAAATTTTAGAAAGCTAAAGAATAGAAATTAACATATATTGGGTGCTTTTTTTTTTCTAAAGACTCTGTTAAACATTTTCTTGGTTATATCTTTTTATCTTTTGAACAATTCAATCAGTCTACAGTGGTGGGATGAAGAAATATGATGTACTGAATGATATTTAGGAGAAAACATCAACAGGAATTGCTGTAAGTATTTTCATAACACTAGGGAAGGGAAGCCATTGAAGAATAGAGTGGGGACTTCCAAAGCTAGAGAGTCTTAAAATTTCAAATGTCTATTAGGTAAAGCAATATAGAAATTTTTCTTCTGGTAACCAGCATTCTACTCTCTACTTTTATGGGGTCAACTTTTTTAGATTCTGAACATGAGTGAAATCATGTGGTATGTGTTTTTCTGTGCCTGGCTTATTACATATAACATAAAGTTTTACAAGTTCATTCATGTTTTCACAAATGACAGGGCTTGGATGGTTAGGGAAAGGAAGAGAATGGGAAGATGTTGGTCAAAGGATATGTAATTACAGTTAGATAGGAGAAATAAGGTCAAAAGTTTTATTGCACAGCATGATGACTATAGTTAATGACCATACACTGTATTTTTGAAAAATGCAAAGATAGTAGATAAGGGTTCTTATTACATGAATAATAACTATGTGAAGTACTACATTTGTTACCTAGTTTTAATTATTCCACAATGTATATAATCTTCAAAATATCATGTTGTACACAATAAATACACACAATTTTATCTATCAATTTAAGCAAATAAATAAGTTTTCTTATAATTAGTAAGGGAAACCTTATTTATTAGATATGAAAACTAGATTATAATATTCTAAGAACTTAATGGAGGTGAGAAAGAAGCAATAATAAGTGTAAACAATTTGTTTCCAAAAGCATGGGTAATACAGTAATGCAAAGGAAACAAAGAAAAAGTTAAAATGAAATTAATACCTCATAGAGATATCTTCATTCCCATGTTCATTGCAGTATTATAATAGCCAAGATGTGGAAACAATCTAAGTGTCCACTGATGGATGAATTAATAAAGAAATTGTGGCATATATTCACAATATAATACTCTTCAGACCTATAATTAAAAAGACACTGCCATTTGTGACAACATGAATGAAACTAGAGGACATTATGCTAAGTGGAATAAGCCAGACTCAGTAAAAATATTGCATGGCCTCATTTATATGTGCAATCTTAAAAAAAAAAGTCAAATAAAGAAGAACTTCAGGACTTTAGTTAATAATATTGTATTTTATACTGAGCACTTGCTGAGAGTAAATTTTTGGTGCTTTTACCACACACACAAAAGAGTATCTAGGGAAGGTGAGGAATATGTTAATTTCTTTTACTATAGTAAATATTTCACCATGTATATGTATGTTAGAATATGTTGTACACCTTAAAATATGCAATAAAAACAAATTTCAAAAAATTAAGCAACTGACTATATTATTAGTAGAAGGAGTCAGTAAATTGATAAGGTTTCAATAGAGCAGATTTATAAAAAATTTCCAAATAGAGATGAGTGGTGAGAACCTAGATGTAAGTTGGTAGATGTATTAGGGTTCTCTAGAAGGACAGAACTAATGGGATATACATGTATGTGTAAACGTGTATGTATACACATGTGTACAATATATACACATTATGTGTGTGTGTGTATATACACACACACATATAATACATATATATACCATATATATATATTTATTTATGTTTATTAAGTATTAACTCACACGATCACAAGGTCCCACAATAGGCCATCTGTGGGCTGAGGAGCAAGGAGAGCCAGTCTGAGTTCCAAAACTGAAGAACTTGGAGTCTGGTGTTCAAGGGCAGGAGGCATCCAGCATGGGAGAAAGATGTAGGTTGCGAGGCTAGGCTAGTCTCTTTTTTCAGATTTTTCTGCATGCTTATATCCTAGCCTCTCTGGAAGCTGATTAGATTTTGCCCACCCAGATTAAGGGTGGGTCTACCTTTCCCAGCCCACTGACTCAAATGTTGATGTCCTTTGGCAACACCTCACAGACACACCCAGGATCATTACTTAGTGTCTTTCAATCCAATCAAGTTGACACTCAGTATTAACCACCACACTAGGAAACCCTAACAGCTAAGCTTATGTGAAACTCATTAAATTAACAGATTGAGGAAAAAACAACATATTTTGATATAAGAATAAATATTGGTATTGTATCAATAGATTAACTTAAATAAGTTATTAAACTTTATAATATTTTAAAATTTAAATTGACCAAACAAATCAAGATAAACAATGTAGTGATAAAATATATAAAGTATACAAATGATTTTTTAGGGTCCAGAAAATAATGTCACTCAAAATTTCAAAATTACAAAGGTACAGAATTTATCTGAATGATTATAGAAGACTGTGGAATAGAAAATCAAAACATCACGTAGGATAAGCATTTAAATGACACAGTCATCCACTCATACGTTGTAAAACTGTACACACTTTGAAAAATAGTAAGCATTTAACATCGTGGGTTCAGAAATAGAACTGTGATCACAGTGCTAGCTGTAGTTTATTGTTTGCAAGTGCTAGAAAATGAGCTAAATATTTTGATTCACAATCTGATTTCATTTTTATGAACACCCTTTGAATCAATGACTTTCACAAACCCTATTTTGTGGGTGAAGATATTCAGTCATTTAGAGTCCAAACAAGTCAAACAAAATCAGTAAATACTAAGTTATTGAGCTAGTATTAAATTCAAGTCTGTGAAATCCTGGAGTAAAGTTGTTTAACTACATTATGCTGCCTCCTAATGAAGAACATCCCCCCACCAAAAAAAAAAAAAAGAAAAAATAACACAACAGATACACACACACACACACACACACACACATACACACACACACTTTAATAGAAAAGCTATGACATGAAAATATCGTAACTCAAAGGGGTATAAGTATTAAATTTTATAAAATAATGTTAAATCAAGCCAGAAAATGGCTTGGGATTCAAACAATACTTCTGAATTTTCACCCTTAGAATGTAATGAGTTTATGGTTAATATCCTTGAACCAGCCCAAGTAATTTAAAAACAAATAGGATTTGTTATCTTTATCTATCTATGTATCTGTTAAGTAATTTTTAAAAAGCCACTTGAGAAAACAGTCTTTTTTCATCAAATCAATATTATTGTCAATCCAGGATTCCAAGGTGAACTTTTGGTATAATAAATATAAATCTGAAAGTGCCTTAATTTATCACAAATTCAGTTGCATTTTTGTAAGCTATGAATATTATATCATGTGACTCAACAAGCTACTTTCTTATTTGAAACTATAAAAAAGTTATCCGTCTTAACAGTATGGGTAAAGTCTTTCTATTGTAAGCATTTGTCAGATTTAATATTTGCTATAGTTTCTCAAATATAGAGTTATATTAGGAGAAAAAGGACACTTAGATATAGTCAATCAATTTTTGCTAACACGATCAAAATAAGGTCAATAAACATGAGTTTTTGTGGGAAGTTGTTTTGGATTTGACACTTTGATGCAAAATTATTTTGGCTAACATCTCTTAGAGAATTCAGATACTGGATGACAATAATTTTAAACCACTGATTATACAGTATATGTTTTGCTACATGATTGATTCTCAGAGTTGTTACTTGCCACTAAGTTAGATCAAAGAATCTAGAAGATTTATTTTTTTTTCCCATTGGTTTTTAATTCCAAAATAATTATTTGTTGTTTCTTGCCAAAAAGTTTACCTAAAACATTTCTGCTCATAGGAAACATATAATAAAATATTATATTTACTTTTTGCTTCCCTTATGCTTATTTGTGTTGTATAGAACATTGATATATTTTCGTGTAAGGGCCTCAGGATGGAAATTGGTCAATGAAACATGAGGTTGAAGACAACGGATTAAATAGTGGAAGTCTATTGCATTTTTTAAAAAAACAGGACCTAAATGATATGGTTTATTTTGGTATCATGTTCACTTGTCTGCTGGCATTATTTAACATTGGTCATGTAAAGAATAACTCAAGAACACTTTATAGAAATTAATAAACTTTACTTTTGTGGAATGAAAAAAGCATCTAAAGGAGGAAAATGAAGAACACTGAAAAAGAACCTACAAATCCTGAAAATGTATCTTAAGTGATACATTGCATTTACAAAGTTATTTACAATACTTATCACAATGAGTGGGCGATATTATATGCTAAGGGATAAAGATTAATAATGTATGGTCTTAATTGTCAAAAAATACATCGCGTGATTTTACTTTTGAATTTGTAGTTTCTAACCTGGCATTCACTTTACTTCATATTCACTTTACTTTTTGCAGAAATTGGAGGGTTGAGTTTGGTCTAGCAGCAAGACAACCAGTTTAAATTTCAACAATCCCTAGACTAACTGGGTTTCTTCTGAGAGATAAAAGTGTATTGAAGAGTTCAACAAGATAGTGTGAACTCAAATTTTTTTCTCAACAATATGCTGACTAACCTTAAAGAGAACATTAAAATAAACAGCAAAACTGAAGGTATTCAAACTTATGTTAAAAGACATCTTAAGCTAGTGAGAAAAAAAAAAAAAAACAAAACTCTTTACCGTTTTGAAAGGATAAAAGTTTTTATGTATTATTGTTTTACCAATTAGCCTATATATTTTAACATATTTATGGGACTATAATAAGTATAATAGCTAATATATTTGAGTATCCAATATCTTATAGACTTTGCAATTTGTATTGTATTCAATATACCATTTACTTGTTACAAAAATCTATATATCAGATATTTTTATCAAACTCTCCATTTTACAAATGACAAAGTTAAGACTTAGAGAGCCTAGTGTAAAACAATAAATGGTAGAAAAGATAAGTCATTTCCACATGCACATACACACACAGGTAGATGGATAGACGTACGTGTATGTGTATTATATCTATACATAGAATTAGCTATATATACACACATACATGTATCATTTGGCTTTTTAATATGTTAATATTGTATTGAAATTCATTATCAGTTTATCAAGATACTATTATCCTCTATTTTAAAGCTAAAGAAAATGAGAGTCAAAATATTAAATAACTTGTTGAATGGCACACAGTATTAAGTTAGTAGGGTTAGAATCCAAGCTTATTCTCTTTCCAAATTGTCCCACTGCCTCTTTATCTAGGTTACATTTTTCTCTGCACTTCGTTAGTTCCTTCTCTCCTTGGTTTTCTCTAGGAATCTGCTATACAGAGATGCGTGTGACAGCATGTTTTAATCCTGCCATAACCATACATCTTGCTAGTTTGTATTAGAAAGGATTATGCTAAAATTTCTGTGGCTTAGGAAACAAAAGATAAGTGCTAACTTCCACTACATGTCCTATATGTCTAAACAATGGTATGTATGTTTGGGAGACAAAGACTTACGGAAATATCAAATTCTGTAGCTGCATCATTAGGACATCAGGTCTCCTTGGTTGCTATGCCGGGAGCGAAAGTATAGGGATTCATCAATGACATTTTCCACATTCCGGAAGTGACAGATATCATGTGCCTCATATTTCATTGGTCAGACTGGTTTTCTGAACCAATCTCATATAGAAGTGGGCTAAAAAGGATTGTCTTCCTTGTGCAGAGAAGGAATGAGAACTGGATATTGGTGAACACTAGTTATGTCTACCAGATCATCCTCAAAAAATGTCTTGGTCCTGACATGGGAATTAACAGCAGACAACCTCAGCAAGGTCAGAAAAGGAAGACTTTGCATAGAAGATACAAGATGCATAAGATTTTTGATTGATGAGATGAGAGGTAAAATAAAAAGTAATATAAACTGTACACAACAAAAGATTGCCTCCCCAAAGGCAGAAAACAATCTCTCCTCCCTATGCTTCAGCTTGAATGAAAAATAATGATACAATTTACCACTTCTATGGATAAACAAAGAGACCTAGAAGATTGAAAGGCTCTTAAAAATAACCATTTGGTGGTATAACATTTTATAATGGCTCATGGCTTTTATAATTATTTCTCACTGTGCCTGAGAAAATCAGAGGAGTACATGCAAAGAAATACAAAAGCAGCAGCCAGAGTCAGCAGTGACAGGCTCCCCACTGAGTGCCATAAGCTCCATTATCTTCTGTCATAGCAACTCCTCAATCAAAGGGAAATAGTGCACTGGAAGCAGGAGACGAGGAACAATAAAACATAGGCAAATTGGCTAAATTATAGCACAAAGTACTACTGAAGACACAGTTAAAGAATAATAGAAAAGAGCAGGTATTTTCTTACAATTTATTTTTTAAATTCTAGGAAAAATTACATCAATTTACTCTTTTACATGAGATAGTATGCATTCTCTGAATAATCAAAGAGATGGCTTCTTTTTTTTCATTTGTAACAGGTATTTCAGAGTGTTCCTGCCAATATTATCAACAGAAGTTTATAATATCAATCTGTTCTATTCTTGAGCTTTGCATTCACTGTACAATGCATGCAAAGTCACAGTTCTTTCATAAATATTTCATATAAGGTTTGCTGATGTATGTTTTAACTTTAGAGTATATATTGATACATGATATAATGTGTTTCAACAAGAAAGACAAAAGAGCATGTGCTTTGCTAATCCTTTCACAGTGCCTTTTATCTGAAAATTAGCTTATTTCGTCGGCTGTGTATATGCTTATCTCATAACTACGGTTGTAAACACCAGTTTTGTATTTGCCAAATATGCCAATGAACAATAAAGTATAAATTAAAGAAAACATTATTTTTTCTGTTCTTATACGGCACAGAAACATATCTTATTTTTAACGTACTTTAAAAACAAACCTTGTCTGCCTTTTGAATCACAAAGATAATTGAGAATTTTCATTTCTCCATCTGATTTCTAAGTTTTGCTAGTATTTTTTGAGTTGCATAATCTGTACACTAAATCCAGGTGCTCTGTGTTAACTAATCATTAACTACTGAAATCTGAAGACCCAATTCTCTACAATAAAATAAATGAGAAGCCTGAGTATATAAATTACATATCATTCATATCTACAGCCCTCTACATATTCATAAAAATGATGTCCTTATGATTTATTTCCTTTCTTAGTGTCTATAATTGTCCCAAGTTCTAGTACAAATTAATTATTTTAATTTCTGTTTTGTCATTGCAGCATTTTATTCCTCTTGTGCAAATATAAAAAGGAAAGAATCTTCTGTGCCCTGAGTCCAAATGAAAATCTCAAGCAACAAAAAAGCGAAGTGATTGGGAAAATAAAATCATTTTGGACTGATCCCAACAGCATTTCAGTTTCATTAGTGTTCTATTAATTTAATACTATAACCAGATTTCAAGTTCTGACAAAGTTCTGTATTGCAGATCTCAGTATTAGGTTAATGTATGAATTGTACTGCACTACACATAAAAATGATGTAAATGTGAATGTATAAGAATAGCCTGACAATTTGAAAAGTCTTTGTAATATTTTCAGAAAATATCCTAGATAGGCTATAATTGAATTATTTGATTTTTACAAATTACTTTGTATTATGGAAACAAATGGTAGTTTTCTCAAGCCTTAACACCATTGAGGATATTTATGTATGTCTGTTTAACAAATAGAAAATGGTTTGTAATTCACCCCAATGATTGATATGAATTAGATTTTATGAGGTTTTCAGGCATTATAAGGAATTATATAATTAAATATGCTTGAAAATTTTCTTTATTCAAGTTATAAGTAGGTTTTATTTACATAATGTAAACATAGTCATAAAGAATGATAGTATTATTGGTACACGTTTAATCCTCATTATCCCTCACTATATCCCTCATTATAAAGTATGTACTGTGATTATTCCTATTTTCTAGATGATGAAATGGAGGAACTGAGAGGTTAAGTAACTTGCTTAAGGTTATTCAGCCCAGTAGTTCAGAGACATGATTTAATCTTTAGTCTGGCTCCAGAGTCTGTACCTCTAATCGATATTATGAAGTGTCAGTTTTTTGTTTACACCCTTTTAATTCTGGTATATTTTGATTTGGTTTCTTGCATCTATGGGACTTTTGGATAATGATAACTTATGCTTCTATATTTACAAAAAATAAACAAACATAAAACATTACAAGTCATTGATTTCTATTTTGACTGGGATATATAATCTGTTACAAAGCAGAATATTAATTGGCTTACCTGCCCTCAAAGGAAGATTTCTTCTGTCTCTGAAATTTTTATGTTGCATCTAAGACTGTTTTTCTCTTGATAACACTAGGATGAGAAAGATGAAAATAGACTATAGCCAGAAGGTGTTACTGCTGTCTCTGAGACTATCTTTTTGCAACTTGAGTTTTTCTTTCAGTTTGTTAATTTGTAATTCAATCTCTCCCATTTCATCTTGGCCCTTCCTAATCTTCACAGAGTTCATTTACTTACTCATGTCATTAGCTAACCACTGCAGTCATGTAAGTTTTTATAAACTTAGATAAGTGTGGACGCATTCAGGGTGGCATGGCCGTAGACAGTTTTTACAAATTTAAAAGGTATAGAGTACTTCTTATGAAAGCTAAACACCTCTATTTCTTCTGAATTTATTAAAAAGTATAATAGCATGAAAAAGAGTTATACATAAATGTCTTAACATAACTATATCTATATTTTTGTCCAGTTATTATGCTAATAGCAGCTTCATCAAATTCAAAAATTTTTATCATTGTTTTACTGGAGGAGAAAGACTTTCAAACACTTACTGCATATGCCTGTGCATACCCCCACACAAACACACAATGTATACCTATTGTTTAAGAGATTCAAAATAGATATAGTTAAAATCAACAATATTGCTTAGAAAAAATATCTGACGTAGTAATCTATAATTAAATAATGTCATTTTGAATATCATTATTTTTATTATTACTGTTTTTATTGATCTTAATGATTCTGTTGACACGGTAAAGCCTATCTGAATGATTTAAACACTTATTGAAGGTAATACTAGAGGGAAACAACTAGGTGATTTGGATAATTCACCTTTTCATTGCTAACGTTATAAACCTCGTTTCATAAAATAACTACCAGTGTGAGCCACTATGAAGTACAGCATTCTTCTCTCTTGACTTACAAACCTCCACACCTTATTTGAAACTGCAATTCTAGACCTCCCAGATGAAATATGACTGGCCTACTGCAACACATTTCATGAACTGGAACTCAAGTTACAAATTTGCCCAGGCATGTTTTTTTGTTTTTTTTTTGACTGGGGAGAAACTAGTTTTATTAGATTTTCTATCCTGCTTTCCTCCCCTCTATTTCTTTCTGTGATACAAATGTAAACTTGGGAAAAGTTGTTATAACTTAATTAGCAGACTCCTCTGTATCTTTCAGTATATGTAAAGACTGTAAATTTTCTTCTTTGGTAAAGTTTATTCAGTTTTGATTAGAACCACAATTAAGAAGTAAGCTAATGGTGGAAATGCAAATGTTGATTAACTTGTTTTGAAAACATCTCATTATAGTTGGACATGATAAATTTTAATGCATGATTAAAAATCATAAGCCTCAACCAAGAACATATTTTTAAATAAGTGAAGACATGTACAAAAAAAAGAAAAAAAAAACTTTTGAGACCAAACTGTTCTTTAATGAACTGCTACTCTTCAAGTGCACAAAGCTATATCTTTGATTATCTAAATTCTACATATTCTTTATTTTTTACACATTAGAATTTCTCTTTCTCTTTTCTGGGAAATGTACTTTTCATCTATATTTTTAAAGCCACACCTTGTTCTATTTCACATATGACTGAACACTGAAATCTCTTTTTAATTAGCTGCTTAGCTGCATCTTTACCCTCCATTCCATACTTGGCTCAATTTACCAATTTACCAGACTATTTTTCCTGACATACTCATGTGAGAGTCTGTTAACTGGTCTGATAAAGACACCCTTTTTCTCTTCTCAAATTCTCAACAAATTAAAAAATAAGACAAAAACATAAAGCAAATTGGATGACAAAATATCAATATACCAATAAAGACAATGTTGAGGAATCTAATTAAATATGACTGATACCCAAACCCAAGAATTTGGCAAACTTATCAACCTAAAGCAGAGGAAGTTCTAAACTGGCCCAGACCCCAGGGAAGTGGCTTCATCCAGGAGGACCAGGGGGAAGTTAAAGGCAGGCTTATTAATGTGGGCGGGAAACTTAAATATTATTTTTCAGTTTACCAATCAGTTAAACTCTGGGACTCCTGGGACAAAAAGAGTGAGGGACAAGAAGAGGCCTTCCGCATAGAAGACAACATCAGGAGTGGGGAAGAAATATTTCTACTAACAGCTCCTTTCATGATGCCACTGCCACTTAATAATTTATATCGCTTTTATACTTCCTATCAAGCCCTATAGTCACTGCATTTCAAGAAACTTTGTAAACTTTGACCTCTATCTCTTTGTAACCCTTTTCCCCAATTCCCTGTATTCTCCCATTTGTTTTGACCATCACCAGTCCACATTATCTCTCGCATATTTACAAATTCCCTTCCTTATGCTTCCCTGAATCATAATTCATATTCTACCTGCTTTCCTTTATTTTCCAAATAGCTATTTTAATCCATTCAACTTCTCAATGATTTTTTCTTTTGATAATTTTTTTTTATTTCTAAACTTCGAGTAGTTAAATTTTGTCTTCCTCACTGAACAGTGAGGCCCTTAAAGTCACTGCTCATACAACATAGTACCTAACACATAGTTGACATACACTACTCATTAAGTGCCATTGAAAAATAAAATATAAAACATTTTTTACATACTCAAAGTGCTAAACATTTTTGTGATTTTATTACTGTGTTTTTATAAAATTTTAAGTTGTAATACTGTTAGGTATGATAGACTAAGAAATACAATAAATTTTGTATGCAGAACTTAATCTTAGATTTCCATGACATTTCTCATCATCAGATCAAACATAAATTATATTTAAGGCCAAAAGAGAAGAATGGATTTTTTTTTTCTCATGGACAGCACAGTTAAGGGCAAGTGCAGGTCAGGGCATCATCAAAGAACATGGCTTGGCAGATTCAGAACTACTGCTCTGGCTTTTGCCATGAAGCTTTCATGAAGAGACCCATTCTGTGATGGACATGTTGAAGGAAAATTTATCTTCTCCCCTTTCACTAATCATTTCCTGATGAAAGAGAACACTGGAATGATAAGAAAACATTCCAGGGATTTGGAAATTACTGATGAATTGAGAAAACTTACACCCACTTAACACTGGGAGTTTTCTGAGTACAAATACCACAAACATGCTTGTCACTGTTGAGTCCTGGAGGAAGAAAAATGGAGAAATGGCCAGGAAGAATAGTTAGATGAAGCTAGTAAATGTTTAATAGCCTGTTCTAGGGGTGGAGGGGAGGGAAATCTTACTTGTAGCATTTGGTAAAATTTTCTCAGTGTAAATATGCCCACCATGGCTAATTTCAAGCTATGAATATGAAGTCAATAAACAGGGAAAAGTGAAGAATTTCACATAACTGGCCCCAATAAGCCCATGTAAGTTGCTCCTGCACCAGTCTGGCTTGGTGACTGGTGACAATTTTCACTTCAGGTTTCCTCTGGAGACAACTTTCATGTGGATTCAATCTTTAAGCTTTAGGTTGTGTAAACAGAAGTACTATGTGTTTAAATTTCCCAAAAACCTATACGTCTGTATGCTAATCCATTCTTCCTACACTTCCTAATATCTTAGAGATACAAACATATAAACTCCATAAAAATAGAAACAGAACTAATATACAGGGGAGATAAAAATGTTTGAATAAAGAAGATGAAAGGTGTTCTGACATTGTCTGAGCTAATTGAACCAGAATTTAATAGACCATTGACCTAAAATATATTATTATTTTAGTCAGAATGAACTAGGATATCTGAAAGCTGTTTTCTGCTGCAAAATGAAAATAGGCCACATAAAACAAATTCAGAGGTATTAGTTAAATAGTGTTATTGTGCATTATCTGAGCTGTGACTATGCAGGTTTTACCTATTATGTGCGACTTGTAGAACTAAATTTTCATTCCAAATTATTTCAATCTGTGACACTTCTAATTTTTCTTATGCTCATCTCTCTTTTTCTCTTCCAAGTTGGAATCAGTCGCCATATCTAGTAAAATCATTCTCCAATTCTCTCCCATTAATCCATTCATTTTTCATGTCAATGCCCACCATTAGTTAATCCATGTGTAATTTTCGCAACTGTTTTCTTTGTAATTTTTATACGTCCCTCCTTACCTCATGCTAGCTCTGCTATGGTATATTAATTCTACTAAGATCTGTTTTTTTGTGTGTGTGCAAATATTGCCCTTTCCTTATTAACACTTGACTGGAACTTTCCCTGCAATCTCATTGCCTGTGCCTTCTGCCAGGTGCTCTACACCGAGTCGAAATGAATTGTTCAGTGTTCCCCCGATTACAACACACATTTTTACATCTTTGATGTTGTTGTTTGTAGGTTTTTGTTTTTTTTAGATACAAGGTTTTTCTATTTTGCCCAGGTTGGAGTGCAGTGGCCATGCACAGGCAAGAAAATAATGCAATAAAGTCCTGAATTCCTGGTCTCAAATAATCTTATTGCCTCAGCCTTCTTAGTAGCTGGAACTACACCCTACATAGTTTTACTTTTACTGGGCTGGTCTTTCTTCCTGAAATATTCTCCCTTCAACATGTCCCCTTTGGAGCACATCTCCAATGTTATTTCATTATGAAGGGAACTGACTCAATCAGTTGAACTTATGTTTCATTCTGTACCCTTCGTTGCGATGCTAATAGGACTTACCTCTATTTATCATAGATGCCTTATCATATGTATCTTCCTGGTGGATGATGAGTCCAGCAAGGGAGAGATGTATTTATCTTTATATTGCTAATGTCTGTTATATGACAGGAAATAGTGGCCATGTGACAAATATTAAGGAAACTTGTGTGAGGGGGCTGTGTAGATGCTGAGAACATGTCACTGTTGTTTTTCTTAATGTTTTTCATCATGTCCATGATGTTTTTCATAATGCCTCTATGGTAGTCTAGGGTGGCGCTGATTTTTTTGAGAAGTTTTAGGCACTACATTAGGAAATTCTAGGTAAGGGAAATGAAAAGAAGTACATAGAGCTCAAAATTTAAGGTAGTAATTTCCTGGAAATGGTAGCTGTGAGTGAGAATGTGTGAAAAGCAATGGTTTATGTGTTATCCTCCCCACATGTATTGTGATAATACAGTCAATATTGTAAAAAACATATTTTTAAGTGGCTTGTTAAATATCTGACATATATAGAGGCCTTTCTGAGATTTTAAAAGTTGTGTTTCTATAAAAATAAATTTCAATTCATGTATCATACATAAAACCTATCCATAGCAGCCAAATCCTAGAACTGGTGTACATCATTTTTGTTATGTATCAATTAATATATAGTTAATATCAACCAAACAACATAATTTCATATGTATGTATCATGTGCCAGGCAGTGCTTTCAATGTTTTACATCGATTATGTTATTTTACAAAATGTTATCTTTGTTTTATGAATGAGAAAATGAAAGTACAAACTGTTGAGGTGGCTTGTCTGTGATTGCATACAGTAGCTGTGAAACATATTAAAAACCTATGTATTGGTTACTTCATAGAACACATAATCACTTGAATGTGCTGACACTTTTGAGAGTAATGACTAAGAATTTTTGCCTTTGAATTCAGAAAGTAGATATCTCAATATCATGTGCATGGCAAGATACGATTTTACTAGCCATTTCCAGAAGATCTCAATAGTTACTTGTGTACTCCGAGAGAAATATATTTGCACAATGGCTGTTATCTGCAGAGGATTCCTTATGTGAATTTCCAGTCCGAATTCACTAAGTCATGAGAAGAATCGAGGGGATTTGCTACTATGGGAATTGTTCTAGTTGGCCGACACACCAAAATCTATACCCAATCCATATCCACTTCACAAAGGATTAACATCCTGAATGATTCAGCTGGATATATATATTTTTTTTTTTTTTTTGAGACGGAGTCTCGCTCTGTCGCCCAGGCTGGAGTGCAGTGGCACAATCTTGGCTCACTGCAAGCTCCGCCTCCCGGATTCACGCCATTCTCCTGCCTCAGCCTCCCAAGTAGCTAGGACTACAGGCACCTGCCACGACGCCTGGCTAATTTTTTGTATTTTTAGTAGAGACGGGGTTTCACCGTGTTAACCAGGATGGTCTCGATCTCCTGACTTCGTGATACGCCTGCCTCGGCCTTTCAAAGTGCTAGGATTACAGGCGTGAGCCACCGCGCCCGGCCTCAGCTGGATTTTAAATACATTGATGGCACTATAGTGTGAACAGCGAAGGGAGGAAGCATGCCACATCCCAGATAACATCAATGATGTCACTAGGGATTTTGTGTTCTCTGCCTCCTATCCAATGCTGGGAAGATTGATCAGAAATTTTCAAGTGCTGCAAAATTTTCATAAATGAGGAGCACTTACAAAACCTCCTAAAAAAGAAGTGCTCTGACACTTGTGTCTTTATTTGATTATTGTTTATGTCCCATTGGCTTAAGTTTCATAAGCTTTGGTTCATCTTTATATTTAATATTTGAGGCACAGTGCCTGGAACAGAATATGTATACAGCAAGTTTTGATAGAAATAATTAATTAGGAAAACTGATGAAAGAAGTAGAAGCTACCTGGAACTCATGTTTTTTTGTCTGAGGTTCATACTAAATCTCTCTGAAGAAATACAGTATGATGTCTCAAACTAGAAAGCTGCAGCCCTACGGTAAAGATTAGGAAAGACTGATCTCTACCAGAAGAGTTATTTTGGGGGAGTGACTTGTGCCAGATTTTCTAAAGTATACACTGAAAAGTGAGTTTTCCTTTTCTGAAGGATGAATAAAGCATTCAGAAAGAATTATTTGTCTTGGAGGGAAATATACCTAAGTACCTTGACAATAGCCATGGCAATTATATCAGTGAGCAGGAGAATCATTGTACATTGTGATGTATTTTAAACTATTTCAGCAATGTTTTCTGTCCCTCATCCTTGGCACTGGTTGGAGGAAGAGATGTTCTAGGAATGAGAGAAGAATGAATTGGAATTCAAGTAATCTAACTGATGGGGTATATTAGTGAAGGTTCTCTAGAGGGACAGAACTAATAGGATATACATATATATGAAAGGGAATTTATTAAGGAGAATTGACTCACACGATCACAAAGTGAAGTCCCATGATTGGCTGTCTGAAAGTTAAGGAGCAAGGAAGCCAGTACTCCCAAAACCTCAAAAGTAGGGAAGCCAACAGTGCAGCCTTCAGTGGTGGACAAGGGCCCGAGAGCCCCTGGCAAACCACTAGTTTAAGTCCAAGAGTCCAAAAGCTGAAGAACTTGGAGCCCAATGTTCGAGGGCAGGAAGCATCCAGCACAGGAGAAAAATGAAGGCCAGAAGATGCGTAAAGTCTGGTCCTTCCAACTTCTTCTGCTTGCTTTATTCTAGCCATGCTGGCAGCTGATTAGATGATGACCACCCACACTGAAGGTGGATCTGTCTCTCCCATTCCACTGACTCCTTTGGCAACACCCTCACAGACACATCCAGAAACAATATTTTGAATCCTTTAACCTGATCAAGTTGACACTTAATATTAACCGTCACATGGGGCATGTTACAAATTCTCATGTGCAATCCCTTTCTTTCTCAACAATAGTGTCCTGGGAAATGTATAGAATAAACATTTAAACAAACAAGTTTAAACTGTATAATAGTTTTATATTAAAAGTTTTATATTTATCAGGGTTTCTTTCATAGTTTAGGAGAAAAAGAAAAAGAGGCATTCCAAGTAGGGATTTTATTTATCAAAGAATTATGACAAAAAATTATGTTATTTGTATTAATTTGAAGATATCTCTTTTTTACTGTTCACTGTTATTTATGAAGATGAAAGACTGTATCATGAATTAAACAGACATCATATTGAAGTTTTAGATTTAATTTTTATTTTAAGACTTAAATTGAAACTCTAAATGAACATTATACATACTATTAGCACTAAGTTTTAAGTTTTGGGGAGCTAATCATATTTTTTCCTAATCAGCAGACATTGAAAAACACATTGCATTTAAGTTTCTTGATTAAATACATTATTCAGGTAGTTAAGTCTTCACAAACATGTCATATGCATACTAAATATTTGGTACAAGGCTTCCAGATTAGAGTCAAGAATTCCCTTTTGCGCGACAGAATTTTAGCAAAGCTGACATGTTGTGAAATTAGATATTTGTAATTAATTATCATTAAGTATTTATTCAAAGTTGTATTTATTATTATTGCAAAAGATAACCTATAGCATTTGCTTTTCATCTACCTCTTTCTTCATTACTTGATCAGATTTTACTTTTAAAAGAAAACTACATATAAAAAATGTTATTTCTTTTTAACTAAGCCATTTAATTGCTGGAACTAAAACATGGTTCTAAGTGCTTTTAAATATGTACCTTTAGAAAAATTTTAAATTTCATAATTCATATCTACATGATCCTTATAAATTAAAATATATAATGTACATCTTCAATTTAGTTTTAAAAATGTGTGTGTGGTATGTGTATGTATTTGTGTGTGGTATGTGTATGTATTTGTGTGTATCTGTATGTGTTTCATTTTCTGTTATATCTTTAGAGAAGAAAAGAAATGGACAGTGCTTGGTATGTATATACACATATACACATACACATTCACATACACACTCATACACACACATAAAAGAGAGGCTCAAATGTCTGTTGAATAAACAAAACATCAGTATTATCGTAGCAATTTTTAAGTAGAACCTTTGGAGATGATCTGCCAGATTTCAAAACGTAGCTGCACTACTAGAAATGTCATCTTGAGCAAGCTAGCTAACTGCTCTGAGCCTTGACTTATCCATCAGAAAATAAAGTTAACAAACATAGGGTTGTAATGAGGTCTAAATGAGATCATCTACATAGTAGGTATGCAACAAATACAAACTATAATTGTTTTTAAAATGCACTTACTAAAATTAATGAGAATGTGACAGTGATTTGTGATGTTATATTGATCATAATAATGTTTTGATTTATTCAGTCAGTTAAGTTTTTTAATTGTCCTACTCCTATAGCATTTGAAAGATTGAAAAAGAGATAAATTTACAAATGTCTTATGACATACAAATGCTGCTTAATAATTTTTAAATTATGGAAGGTTTTCAGGTATTTCTAAAGCATAAACACATTTTTTAAATTTTAATTAGTGGAGAATATTTGTGTTCATCAAGAACTTCTTGTTTATTATCTTTGAGCTTTTTTATAACTTGTTCAATTGTGAGCAAGGCAGTAATTCTCCTTTGAACGTACTCTCTTCTGTGAGCTATGGTAACCAAATGTATAAGAAGACCTGAATATTAGAGTGAAGCTTTCTCTTTTTAACTGAAAAAATTTTCTTTCTTTTTCTGCTACAGTTAAAAATGTTTCTCAAGTTTGTCAAGAAAAAAATATAAGAACTTCTTTTAAACATAATAATTCAAGGTGCATTAAGGAATTCTATGGTATCTAAGATAGTCTTTACAAATGCTGCCTGTTGCTGTCCAATATTAGAGCCACCAGTCATATGTAGCTACTGAGCACCTAAAATGTTAGTATGATGAAGAAACTAAATTTTTAATTTTATTCTATGTAAATCATTAAATTTAAATCTCCACATATGGTTTGTGGCACTGGATAGTATAGGTGAAATGAAAAGTCATAAATGGTAAGTTCCACATGTCAAGCTGGAAATGTGCTTTCAAATAAAGTACTACTATAAGTAAAAATAAAACAATATACATTTTTATTTTTTTTGTTTTTTTATTTTTTTTGAGACAGAGTTTTGCTCTGTCACCCCTGTCGCCCAGGCTCTAGTGCAGTAGCATGATCTCGGCCTCAGCCTCCCTGGTAGCTGGGACTACAGGCTCCCACCACCACGCCCGGCTAATTTTTTGTATTTTTAGTAGAGATGGGGGTTTCACCATGTTAGCCAGGATGGTCTCAATCTCCTGACCTCGTGATTCACCTGCCTCGGCCTCCCAAAGTGCTAGGGTGACAGGCATGAGCCACTGCACCCGGCCAATTTTACTTTTTTATAATAATTTTATATTTTTCATTTTTAATAACATTACAACATAGACCCCACCCAGGGCACTCTCTCTCCCTTCATCTCTCCTCTCCCGCTCTTTTTGTCTATGTCTGTCTGTTTATCTCTCTATATACTGTACATGTTTCTCCTAGCTGTATGTATATAGTCCTGCTTCAATGAGAGAAGAGAGTAAAAAAGAAAAACTAAATACATGTTGCAGAGATTTAAAATGTTAACTCAGACACGAATTTTGTATCTTCTCTTTTCTCCTACTGTTCGAGATGGGTAGGCACTTGTTTTTTATTTCATTGAATAATAAATATAAACTGTACTGATCTAATTTTACTTTGAAACCTCCACTTCATAAGACATGGAATTTTGTTTTTTGAGAGTAGAAGTATTCCTTTTCCATCTCAAAATTCACTACGACATAATCAAATGTTTCAAACATATATCTATTGTGATTTAATCTATGCTGTGGCAAGACCACAGCAATGAATGTATCTGTAAAATTTCTTAGTTTTGTTTATTCATTTGCACCATGGGAAAATAAAAGCAAAATGTCAGTGAAATAAATTTATTTTCTGGTACTGCAGCCTATTGATATGATTTCTCCTAAGGATACAGATCTGGAAACTGTCCATGTTTAGGATTTGGATGTGTTTGGGTCTTATAAATTATCTTAATCTACATAAAAAGATATGTTGATCAATAAAATGTATCCCTAAGTATGATAATATATTTGAAACAATGATCATTTGAGTTACTTTATTGTGACAAGGATTTTGGAATAATTAAAGTATGAAGTACTATTTGTATGGATAGTGATGCTCTGTGCAGGATAACTAGAAAAAGGACTGGAGCTCTAAGAAAGGTATGAGTTTTAGTCACAGACGAAGGCCACTAACCTTTTCATAACATGTACTTTTTTAGGATGCTTCCCCGAGCTCAATACCTCTAATCCCTCTGGCTTCACCTTGCCATCTCTAAGGCTTCAACCCAGTCTTTCGAGGCAGTTGCGGATTTTGGCATTGTTCCAGAAGGAACCTGTAGCACTACATTTCCAGTAAGCGCAAAGCCACAACCATCTGTAGACCACAGATGCCTGACTGTAAGTTATCATACCATGTGACCAGAAGCTGGAGAGTAGGGACCCTACGGCTGTAACTCAACATTTATTTTTTCCTTCACAACACCTAAATTTTACTATGTCACCTCTCTTAATAAGCTTGTTTTAAAAGTTTCTAGATCTGTTAAATACGCAGGTGGATGTGATAGCCTGTAGTTTAACCTTCTACAGCCACTATTCCATGCACTCCATTCAAAAAGAAAGATTGTATATATGTATGTGTATGCACATATTCATGTGTGTGTCTAATTCAAGGTGATAGAGTTACTAACTGAGACCGTGTGTTACAGTGCCGTGGGGACAAGGATCAACAATTAAAGTGAAGATTATAAATAGAACAATAAAGATTATAAATTAAATAAAATGTTAAAAATATTCTGAAAGAGTTGAGGTTGTAGCTCACTAGTGAGCTTTGTATCTCATAAGGAATTATAATATATTCTGATGGCAAGGGGTAGCATTCATTGTCTTTTTTATGAGGAAGCGGCATAAAAAAGCTGGATCCAGCTATATCTGGGAAAATAACCATGATAGCAATGTGTGAGATGTTGTATAGAGAAAAGGGGCTGAAAATAGGATGAAAAGTTAGAAAATGTTTGTAATTGTCTAGATCAGGGATGAGGAGATCTTGAACTAGAAAAATAGACAGTAAAAATCTAGTCCATATCAGAACTAGATTACTAGATATTATTGATATGTCCATATCAGGGCATATCAGTAATACAGGGTAGAGAACAATATGAAAGACAGATTGAAAGTTAAAGATATTTTTAAAAAATTTCTCGCCATTGTGACTGAATATATGGCATACTTTAAAAGCATAGGAAACAAACCAAGAAGAATTTTTGATAAAGAAAGGTGGTCAGTTGTGTTTCAGACTATCAGTGCCATCCCAAATAAACTCTCTCTCTCTATATGTATATATATATACACATATATATGTGTGTGTATATATATGTATATATATATCTGTGTGTATATATATACGTATATATGTGTGTGTGTGTGTATATATATATATATAGAGAGAGAGAGAGGGGAGAAAGGACAAGATAGATATCTGGATTTGGAAAATATTCATATGGAGTTTATATTTAAAGATTTATATTGGGTGATATACTCTTGAAAGAAAGCCTAACACGCAAGGATGGATTAAAAATTTTGGAGGGTGGAATAGTTCTTGACGATGAACAGGTTCCATTTGTGTTCATTGATTAGAAGTGTTGGGACTGTGGAATGGGCCACAAAACTCCTTGTTTGGGGTATTATACATACTATCAACATTGACATTGAATTTTGCTCTAGGGATATTTAAATAAAAAGGACAAGGTGGGTTTTTTGGGTAATATTTAATCTTTGTCAACCTGATACTTAAAAGTGTATGTTACATGAATTACATTTGTAAAAATGTCTATAGTATTTATGTCTGCTTAAATTTGTTAACTATATTTGTCAAAAAATGAATCTGAAAATATTCATTGATATTGTGATACTTATTTCACTAATTTTGATTTGACTCATCTTATTGTAATTATAACAACCCGTTAAAATTCCTTTAAATATATTCTCAAAGTTTAGGGGGAAAATATTTTTCTACCTAGATAAGTTGTAAGATAAAAGTCAATGGTAATTGTATTAGAAATATTATCAAAAAACATAATTCAAAAATTCTGTTTTTCTTTTACAATTTTCTGCAAATGAAATAATATTGAAGTTATTCTTAAAGAAGCCTTAAAATAACAAGGCTGTATAACTTCTGTCATTCATAGTCTATGTTTTTATTCATTAAAATGACATGCTAAGAGTTTGTTCAGGTAATAATTTATGAAAAATTATGGATGAATAGTCATTTCTCATCTCTCACAGCAAGAATGAAATCAACCACTTTTTCAAAACACCTTAATGGTGAATATTTCTCAAGCACTCCCTTCATACTGCCATCCTATTACAAGACCTTTTCATCTTTCTTCTGAATTTTTATTTACTTTTTATATTAGACTTCTAACTTGCTTTCTTGCTTTCACTTTTCTTCCCCTTTATTTTGTCTTCCACACAGGAAGTCAGTGGTCCTTTAAAAATCCTGTTCAAAAATTTCCAATGCTTTATTTAGAGTAAAAACAATTTCTTATGGCCTGAAGACCTTACACAATTCATTCAGCCAGGCCCTCATGAACCAACTCCCCTTCCACACACACACACACACACACACACACACACACATACACACTTGCTTTTCTTTTCTGATTTCATGTCCACTAAAGATATTCCTGGTGTAGTGCTTCCACTTTTGTGGTTCCATCTGCCTGGGATGATTCCTCCGGATTCTTATGTGCTCCTCTCCCTCACGTCATTCTTTTATCTGCTCAATAAATGCCCCCTCAAACCTCAAAAAAGCAAAGCAAAGCAAAATAAAAACAATTCTTGCATTTTTCTATTTACTTTCACTGACTTTATTTTTTTATAACACTTTCACTATGTAAAATTTAACAGAATATCAATCTTTTTAGTTTATTTTTGGTCTCTCTCAGGAGAATATAAGATCCATATTTGTAGATTCTTTTTTGTTTGTTTTATTTGCCTCTGAATTTCTAACACCTAAAACAGTGCTTGACACAAAATAGTTACTGGAAATGCTATAGTGAATGAGTATCATTCATTGAAATTTATTGTATGAATTATGTTGTATTGAATTAATGATTTTGGAGATATTCATTGAAGCACACACTCTTATCAACTATAATAGTAGCATTCAATTGTTGCTAATTATTTTAGAAAAATACTCAGAAGTGTCCTTTCTTCATTTTTTCCCCAATTACTTCTATTTTTATATGTTATTAGAATAAAAGGCAGGTGAATAACATCTGAATGTAAAACATTATCAGTTATATGGTGTGCTATTTTCCAATATGTATATTACATTTTTTATTAGTAATTGAGGAATCAATATTTTATATATGCATGGAAATTTTTAAAATAGTGTTTTTGCAGCTCTGTAAAACTAGTCAGCATTTATTTTGTTTATATATTCCTTAAAGTAACCTTGATGCTTAGCTATATCTAAAAGCATGGGTATTAAAATTGCATCCAACCCTGTGTGAGATTTCCAGTATTAAAATGTATGCTGTCTGATTCCTGGAATCTATTATCTCTTGTACATAGATAAGTGTGCAAGTTGTGCTTCTTATGAAACTTTTATGTTTCTGGTCTATCAGAGACATTTCTATGATTAGACCTTTGAGTAAGTGATTGGAAATTTAAATAACAAAAAGATGATAGACCTTTAATTTTTATTTAGAGAATCTGAGGCCTTAATTTTTAAATAGAAAGCAGACTAGTGGAAATAGTAAAACAGTGCTTGCCATAAAAATAAAGATTTCCTAGCCTACCCATGGATGTTCTGAAACAGAATTCTAACTAGGGAGTCCAACAGTCTTTTTTAATAGATGCCCTAAGTCTTTGCTCCTCAAAATATAATCTGTAGACTGTGTAGTCTGACTTGGGAATTTTTCAGAATTTCAAAATTCTCACCCACATTCTAGACATACTGAGTCAGAATCTACATCTTAACAAGAGACACAGGTGTTTCCTGTGTATGTAGCATTTTGAGAAGCAGTACTTTAGATGATTCTGATGCCTACCTGGATGCAGAAAACAATAGAGTCTAGAAACTATGGTGTAGCATTGGAGACTGTGGATAAAAGGCAAAAATGGCTGGAAGCGATCTTTCCCAGAAATGATTCTGATATCCAACCATTGATTTCTGTGTCTTTTAAGCAAGAAGATTTCTCTGCTCTGTCCCACTCCAAAGGATTTATCAAAGAAAAACGTCCATAACGACTAAACTCAAATTGTTCTCTGAAATCAACATTCCAAAAGTGTAAGCTCTTAACAGGCATGAGCTGTCCATTTCTTAAAATTCTTATTATATCACTTTATGAGTATTTAGTTTACTCAATCTAATGAAAATAAATTTCTGTTCACTATAGAATTTTGAATATTTCTTAAAATTGAAATTATAGAGGAGTAGAATTTTTTAAAGTCAATGTAATAATAATTATTTAATGACCAGCATCAATGCATCAATATCTTCCTTTTTCATGCTCCTAGTGACTGCATGCATTTCCTAAGATGCATGCAGGAAATGCTCCTAAGATGCATTTCCCATTGACACAAAACTTATTAGGAATATCTATGTAGAAAAATTGGGAACCCAATAAACAAAATTAGCCCCAAATATATTTCTACATATGTTGATGTGAAATAGTTTATTTTAAAGAAAAAATTATGTATATAACTGTCACAGGATTCTCGGGGTATTGCTTTTCCAACCATAAATCTCTGTGGCTGGTGGTGCCTTTGCCCAAGTTTTGCTTGGGCCTGCTGGCCTTGTTCCTCCCACTTGGCCTGGCAGGTTGCACTTGGCTTGTGCTACCTGCCTGGATCTCATGCCTGCCAAGGGTGAGCCAGGTGTGGAGCGGCAAGGGTGTGTGAAAAGGGAAGCCTGGGGTCCGGCCACTGCACACAGCCAGGCACAGTGGCTGCAGCAGGTTGGGAAGCTCCAGGCTCCCACACGGGCACCAGCTCCCTCAGAGGCTGCTCTGGACCAAGCATACCGCAAGCTGCTTCCACAGCTGGCACAGAAGGTAGGAGATGCCAGGAATCGCAGAGCACCAAAGAGCTTGTCACAGCCGTGGCTCGAGGAGCTCCTAGGTCTGGGCTTCCCAAAGGACCACAGGTCTTCTTTCCTTCTTGTCACCCACAACATGGAGAGAAAGGGGCGTGTTTCAGCCATTTTTGTTACATCTCTTTTGGCTCCACCATGTAGCAGGTCCCGAGTTCTTGTCCCACATCCAGGAAGAATGAGGTACATGGACTAGTGGAGGGTGAGCAAGGCGAAGAGGTGATTTATTGAGTGACAGAACAGCTCATAGGAGACTTGCAGTGGGTAGCACCTCTTCACAGTCAGGTCTTCCCAACCAGAGTCTAGCTCTCAGCAGAGAGGCGAGACACAGGCTCCCCTCTGCAGGCTGGTTGTCCCATTGCCTGCTCAGCTCTCAGCTGAGAGGAGAGACACAGGCTCCTCTCTGCAGGCTGGTTGTCCCATTGCCTGCTCAGCTCTCAGCTGAGAGAAGACCCAAAATAGGTAACTCCTCTCCACAGGCAGGTCATCTTGTAGTCTCACTAAGTAGGGCTGAGTCCCAGGTTTCTGCGCACTTCAGAGGTGAGGAAGTGTGTGCTGATTGGTCAATGGGCAGCTGTTGGTGGGCCGGGAAAAAGCACCATAAGTTCTCACTATGGTCCCAGTAACTGGGAGCCTAGACCCCAGGCATCAGGCCGTCCCTGGCCTGAAGATGGGGTTTCACTGGTGACCTGTCCCTTTCCACCCAGAAGCCTGTCTGCCTCGTACGACAATTAACCTCTCATCCACGGTTCCCATGGCTCTCAAGCTGTTCCTGCCGAGGGGTGCCTGCAGGCCTGCACCACGCAGCCCTTAGCCTACCTTCTGCCTCCCTCTGGTGCTTTCAGCGCCCAAAGTCCGGAGGGGGCCAAGCACACACACACGTTTCTAGGTTGTGACAGCACCTGGTCTTGGCTACAATTTTGCTCCGAAATAGGAGTGGGTACCAGGAGCGGGGAGAGGCCCAGCAGCAGGATCAGGTACTTCCGAGCTTGTGCGGGCACAGGAGGGTTACCAGGTACCAGAGAGTGCAGAGGTGCCCCCGGTTTGCAGTCGTGGTTGGATGACTGCAGCGACACCCAGAAGGGCAGGATTCCTGCCCCTCCAACTCGGAAGGGGGTGAGCTTCCGCCTGTTCCCAGCTCCTGCTGGCTCCGTGGAACATGCAGCCCCGGCCACACCTCCCCACTGCAGTCCTGGCCGCACCTCTCCACTACAGCCCATGTCATGGCAGCGGCAGCTTCAGACACGCCGCCGCTGCCATCGTAACTACATACAGTACAAAACAAAAGTTATTAGAATTAATTAAACACCATTTAAAGGTTATAAAGTTAAAGAATATAATATATAAACTTCAAGAAATTGGCTACAATAATCCATAGGCATGTATTCTAAAATTATAATTTTCTAGTTAGTAATATAAAACTCTCTTAAAACATGGGGGTCTCTTAATGATTACAAAAAAAAACCTTCAAAAATATTACAAAGTCTTAGAAGAAATTTAGACATTCCCATATAACAGATATTTTGAAATAAATGTTATGTGGAAAACTAAAAACACAATTTTATTTTATAATTTCTCATAGTTTAAAATTCAATCATATGCTTCATTATGGGTCTCAAAGAACTTCATTAAGTACTCAATTTGTCATAAATGCTTTTGCAATATATGGGACTTTCATTCTTCTTTTAAGAATCAAGTAACCTGAGATTTTGATGAAATTAAAATTAACACAGTTCATTAAATTATTAGTGAAGATCTTTCTGCACCCACTTATATATTCATGCTTCTCCCATATACATAAACACCAAAATCCACCTTTATTTCTTTTTTCCTGGAATTAGAGAGGCTTTAAATCATGTGAAAACTGCTGAATATATTTTTCTAAATAATTCATTTGACAATAGCAGTATTCTTCTTAGAAGGATAGTTTACAATTTTTTTTTCTTATCACTCCCAGGAGACATTGTTTAGTCATTGTCATTTCTAGTGTTCTTTTTAAAAAATACATATCCAATTATTTCATTGCACACAGAAAAATAACTGCTATTTTAAAAATCGTTAGAAAGAGAGAAGTGAAATACACATGAGAAATCATGGCATCAAGAAATACTTAAGAAAATGCATACATCAAAAACTGTGCAAACTGGTTTTAGCAAGACATAGATGGCATGCTCCAGGGGTTTAACTAAGGATAGTTTAATGAAGAGTTTATTTACACAGATGTAAGCAGAGTTAAAGAGAACAACAAGGCTGGTAAACTCTCCAGGGATTAGTAGCAGAGGAATGCTGATACCAATACCCAACTTGAAGGCAAAGAGGGAAGGGACAGTGTTAAAGGAGGCTGGAGAAACCTTGGAAGCTGGAAGGAAGGCCTCTGCAAAGCACCTCTACCCACAAACCTGGCCACTGTCATGTTTGAGGTGAGATAGAGTAGGAATGGAGGCAATAAATACCTCAAGCTCTCTCTCTCTTCCCTGGTCAGTGTTCCCTAGAATTTCATGTTCATCTATGATGATCCCTTGGGTGTTGGAATATGATTATTCATATTGTTTTCATCCTGCTCCTTATTAAAATATTTTAATCCCATAATTCCAGATAAAAACCTGCATTAAGGTGAGTTTCTTAAGGAATGAGAGTAAAGGAAAAAAAAACAGCTTTGGATCAGTGAGGAAACAAGAGGTGAGTTTTATCCATCCTGCTTCTGGGTAGTGTGACAGGGTTTTTGTTTTTAACTGATCAATAATAATTGTATATATTTATGGGGCACAATATGATGTTTTGTAATGTGCATCCAGTATGGAATGACTAAATAAGGCTATTTAATACATGTATTACCTTATATACTTTTTTGTGGTAAGAACTCTTAAGATCTACTCTTTCAGCAATTTTGAAATACATTGGGACAATATTTTAATACAAGAATAAAAACTGTTTATTCTTTCATTTGGCTGGTAGTACCTTATTTGTCATTGGTTGCTTTTTAAAGTCCCATGTTAATTTGGGTGTTTTGTTTGTTTGATTTTGTTTTTTGCATTAGGATACAAACTCTCATTCATTCACTTAACAATTATTTAATGAACCCCTATTATATAACCAAACAACTGGAATGATGCATTAGAGTATTTCTGGGAATAACTGGAATGATGCCTTAAGAGTATTTCTGGGAATATATATACTTATTTTTTCTGGCTTATATTGCAGGGTTATATTTGAGTGAAGGCTATCTTTGCTAGTTCTGAGTACCAAAATTTAAGGTAAGCAATTATAAACATGTATCTATCAGTGCAAAACAATGGGGATAGTTGAGGGGCATATGATTGTTGGAAGTAAGCATGTTTGAATTCAGGGTTAAGCAAAATTTGAGCCATTATTAGTAGTTTATTTAAATACTTGAAGAGTTTATAGGTAGACCAATGATTGCAGTTTCACAGAGTCAGAGCCCAGCTTGAGTATTTTCTGTAAACCACTGTTACTTAGGGCTTATTGCTACTTGCAGTTGAACTTAATCTTCGGTGACACAGTGGGTCTGAAACACTTCAATCCTTTTCTAATAAATTCCACTATTGCAAAAATAGAAAACATGAGTGCTATGTGAAGAAAAACAAAACAATATATTTTAATTGAAATATTTTGTTGTATTTTAAAATACAACTTCAAAGCTTATGCTAGTTCTTTGAAAATTAATTTTATCTTTGGTATCTTATTTGCCACAGAGTTCTTTCATTTCCCTTTGTTTTTTTTTATTCTTTCTAAGAACATTTATTCTTTTAAGTTTTGCCATAAATGGGCTATTCATTATTATAAGTAATTTAAACCAGTCAATTCAGTTATGTCAAATAAAAACACAATTGTTGGTTAAAATATAATTATTACATTTGAAAGGTTTTTACACAAACAATGTGGGATTATTATAAAGTTTACTTTGATATATAAAATCTAACCTTTATTCTTGTTTTGGAACATAGTTGAATATAAAATGAAACATAGTCTCATTCTATCTGTAATAAAACTAAATCTAAAATGAAAGCATCTGCAATGAAACTGAATTTACAATATCAGAAATGGTATATTTGCAGTTGCTATATATTTTTCCCTGTAAACTTCCACTGTTTTCTTATAACTAAAATCTGAACTGTAACTAAAATGAGTTGACTACCTAATAAATCATAAAAATAAATTATTATATTAAAAAATCTACATAGCATTGTAACTATTTTTCTTATTAATCTGGCAGTTATTTTTGTTGTCTTAAGAGCTCCTTTTCTTTTTGTAGTTATTCTGACACTAAAACATATCAAATGATTTAAAATTAATTTTCCAAAAAGAGTATAATCAAAGTAGTTTCATCTTAGCCTTACCATTTTAATCTGTTCTGATTTTAATCTATTGTCTCCCTCAAAAAAAAAAAAAAAGATCCCTGGTTTAAAAAAAAAAGAAAAAAAAATCTTCTGTAGAAATTAGAATCCTGGAATCCTTCATTCAATTTTGGAAATGTTATAGAGCAACACAAAATAAGGGTGGATAGTTCAGTTGTTAACCTGTCAGTCAAAACCCTTGTTATACTCAACTCTAGTATCAGATTTATGTACGACAAACTTTCCTGTCAATCAAATGCTTTAAAAAAAAAAGCTTTATATATTTCATTAGATTCAGTGGTAAGGAATCCATTTGATTGACAGTTGAGGCACATATAGTTTGGGGGAAAATATGTTACAATTAGGTATACTTCCCTTTCATAAAATAAAATTATAGCATGACCATTATTTCAATTGTTGTTATCATATTCTTCAGAGATACTTGCAGCAAATGCTGTGTATGACTTTTGAAATTTACTCAGCTTAAGAACAAATAATTTAAAGTTGTATGAAAGCAGGTTATAAGCAACCCAGACCAGTCACTGTGTGATGAATCTAATTACCAAAAAATATTGATCTAACAGTAGCTGGCAGTTCTTTCTAACTGCCATTATTACTGTTATATAATAATATAGAAAGTGCATATATTGATGCTTTTAATTTTTTAATGGAAAAGTTGAAATGATGACAAATGAATGCTGTGACATTGGCCGTATATACATTTCATGAAAATATAGTCCATAAACATTAAGGAACTTTTATTTCTGTCTGCATTAGCTAATATTTATTAATATCTTCCCATAGAAAATTCTGTCAATTTAAAATTCTAAAGTTGTTTTTGTGAAATAATATCTTCCTGTTTTAGTAGGACCTGTCTAACTTTAAGCAACAAAATATATTGTTAATATCCTTACCTCAACTTCTAGCCCTGAGATGTAGACCATCACTATTGCTTGTCATTCAATATGTGTTGAAAAGTGTACACTACATTACAAGACATAGGATTTTCTCCATTATTTTATCCATAATAAAGAAACATATATTATGAATCTAGTATGAGACAAGTGGTTTGCTAAGCATTTAAAAATACAAAAATTAATTTCATAATACCCACTCTGACATTGTCACAATCTCCACTTTATGTATGAACTGATGACAGCTTCATCCTTGGATTTTTCTAAATTCCATAAGAGCTTTCATATCAGCAAACATACAGACAAACAAAAAGAGAGTCAGAGGAGGGATTGTTTTGCATATTCAGGTTAAATAAAATAAAAATCCTGAAGATTCAGTAGAGTCCTACAAAATTACTGGGTGGGGCTTTAAGAGCAAGTGTGAAAAGCTTAACAGCAATATGAGGACAAGGGAAAATAATGAAACAATGCAGGCTTCAGCATGTACAGCAATTCTCTGATGAGTGAAATCAGGGTCATTCACTTAGTCACTAAATGGGTTAATTACTTTTATGGTCATTGTAGCTTACACAATATAAATCCAACTCTATGAAAAAAAAAGAATGAAAAATCAGGACACTCTATGATGATGAGGAACAGCACCATTATACTAATACATAAAATATCAATAAACTTTTCCTGAAGTCTTCTCTAAGGTGGAATAAACTATTTTCTTCAATATTTCATAGCAATTTTTATAACCCTATTATCACTGTCATAGTTCCTTATACAGTATTTATGTGTTTATCATTGACTTTATATATTACAAGCTCACTGATATCAGAAACCATGTACTATACATCTACATAAATTCCAAAATAAAACCTTTCATACATATAGTAGATGCTAAAGCATATATTCTCACAGATCTTTCTTTATCAGTATGCCCCTCCTAACTATAAGGCCTTATTGTTAAATTTGATAGGCACTATACACACCAAACAAGAAGCATTAGTGGGTAGAGCTTTATTGGCACGTTTTGAGGGGAGCTCTCACCCTGATTCCAAATTATTGAATACTGAGAGAAGCCCCCAATACAGGACAATATAATCCATGTCCCTCCTCCTGGTGCCAAGACCTCCTCATCTAGAAATGCTCCCACAACCCTCTGAATGGCCACTATACTGTCAATTAAGGGATATGGACATTCCAGATGAATGAATCACAAGCCATCCTGACTTTAAATTATGAAGGAAAAAAGATGTACTTAACACAACTACAGCTTTGGCAGTGTCCTCCCCAAGCGTCCATTCAGGGATCCCAAGGGGACAATCTTCTAAAACGATAAGGGGAGCAAACCCCCTTCCCCAAACCTCAGGATTGGTGATCCCCAACTTCCTGCCATAGGAGTTTGGCTCCTCCCTGGGCCTTGTCCTGCCATTCAGGACAATCACCCTTTTACAACATTGGTGGTTCATTGGAATATGGGTAACTCCCAAGGGTTCTTAGTCCTGCTGGACACTTGGTGTCCAGGTCTCTGTTATCTTAGGAAATCTTAGCTTACACCCAAAAGATGCCACATACAATTTGCAGGGCATGGCCAGAAAGGTTATTTAAGAGAAACACGTCTTAATTTTTGCATCTATTAGAAATGTTTTCATTAATTCTGTTAGTGATGGTGGCTTCACTGGCTCTTTCTTTTCTCATTATAGGGATTGATGCATTGGCTCACTGCCACTTCAGCTAGAACAAATTTAAATTCATAGCACTGCTGGTGGGAAAATACAAGTAGGACCCACTACAGTTGCCAGCCCCCATCAAGGTGGTAAATACACCACTGTAACTACTAAAACTAGCTACAGAAGGGCTATGACCACTAATTCTATTACCAGAAGGAGTTATTGTCCCCATTATTTTACACTAATAGTCCAATTTGGCCCATATTAAAAGTCACCACAAATGAATGGAGACTAAAAATTAATGTAATTTAAATTCCCAGGTGCCACCTATTAAGGCCCCCATTCCTGACATTGTTGAATTAATGGAAAGTATCCAAAAGGCACTTGGTTCACATTTTTCAGCAGTGGGTCTGGCCAATAGATTTTATTCCATTCCAATTTCAGTAGATTCCCAAAGCCAATTTGCCTTCATCTTCAAGGGAGCATAATACATGTTCACTCATCTTCCTATGGGATACCTGAACAGCCCAGCTATTGCCCACAACCTTTGCCAGCAAGTTCTCTAACAATCAAAATTAAAATACTGCCAGGTTTGGCACTATGTACATGGCATGATATTAAAAGGGCCTTCTAGAGAGGCAGTAAAAAAAAAGATTTAAATATTCTAATTCAATATGTACAGGACCTAGGTTGGGCCATTGCTCCCCATGAAATATAGAGGCCTGCCACCTCAATAAAGTTCCTGGGGTCTATATAGGCAGCTAAAGGTAGAGAAATCTCCCCTACAGTCAAATATCATTTACTCACAATTTGACCATCTCAGACACTCAAACATAACACCTTCTGGGCCTTTACTCACTTTACCCACAACACATTACACATTTCACATTACCCCTTAAACTTATCTACACTGTTACATGCAGATTCAGTTCCTTCCACTCTGGAAAGCCCCAGAGTTGGGGCATGAAAATTGGCTCAACAAGCAGCACAACGGGCCCTGCCCCTAGTGCCTCCATGGTCTGACTTTTGTTCAGAATCACTGACCATTGTAGACTATGCTTCCTGGAGCCTGTGGACACGACTTGCCAACTCTTGGTTACCCATGGGATTATGGACCAGGTGACTACCACAAACCACTTTGTATCCTTTTCTAGAAAACTATATTTTGGCAGCCTCCCGGGCTCTATCAGAGACAGAGGTGTCCACTGACCTATGGCTGATGACGCTACATGCACGTGATGAGTTCCTGTAATGCCCTGGGTTAGAGATGTTTCCCAGAAGGGGCTCAGCAAGTCCAGAGATGCCTCTGTTAAAATGGAAATGGTATCTTCAGAAGAGAACTAAACCTAATCCAAAAGGTCTTTACAAATTAAAGGAGGATGTAGCTTTCCCCATACTCAGCCCCTTGCCCACCATCTTTGAGGAATGGGTGATGATGTCTCTACTACTTGACTGTCTGGCTAGCTAGGGAGTCCCTTGGAACCAACTGTATAACCTGGGAGACCATGTACCTCACTGATCACAGTGCCACCGTTGTATGCAGTGGGGCCCACTGGAGCACTGCAGCACACCATTGGCTGCACACACCACTCTGGTGGAGGAAAGCAACCTCAGTTCAGCCCACTTTGACAAACTTGCAACTGATGACTGGTTCTTAAAGACACCCTAAAACATGCCCTTCACGAATTAAGAATTTTCACCTGTTCTTGGGAGGTGGCAAATGGGTTAGCTGTATGGTTGGGATAAGGGAAAAACATAACTTTCAAATACAAAGTAAGCCACTATGGGGATCCCACATTTGGCAGGAAGTGACTATAACCATGCTTTCTATTTTCATGTCACGTGTCTCAGCACACAACTGTGATACATCTGAGACTCACTTTAACAACACTGCAGACACTCTTGCCAAACAGGCCTATGTTGTCTCAATAGAAAAATACAAAACAAAATCAATCTGATGTGCCATACTCATTGGCAGCATGGGCTCAAATAACTTTGGGTCACCAGGGCACCTCAACCTTTGTAGATTTGGGCCTACCGGAGAGAATACCCTTAACTCCTTCCTTAGTTAAAACAGTTATGAATAACTGGGAAAGCTGTCCCCAAACAAAACTTGGGATGTTCCCACTAGGGTAGGGTGCCTAAGGGAGATGATCCTTGCTCATGAGGTCATCTTAATTACCTAAGCCCCCTACTGGTCACCACTGGAGCTATCAGGTATTGCTTTACTCTTAAGTGACTCCTCATGGGACTCCTACTGTCTTCCCACACACCGTGTCACAGACACATCCATCATTGCTGGTCTGACAAAATCTATTGTAATTTATGTTGGAGCACCCAAAATCAAAGTTGTTGATTTTGATCAGTGGACCCACTTTAAAGCACAGACAGTCCAGTAGTGTGCACTAGAATAAGGCACACTGTAGAACTTCAATCTGTCCTACTTCCCTCAGATGGCTAAGCTCATCAAATGAAAATGTGACCTATTAAAAGATCAATTATTTAAATTAGGAGGGTGATACTGTGCCCTAACTGCCATCTTACTGCACGTTCTCCCCTAATTGCCATAGTACCCCAGGTTCTCACCTGATTGAATTGTCCACCTACCAAATTTCACACACTGCCACCAACTATGCCAGACTTCCTACATTGACTCTATTGGTGGCCCCAGGTAACATAAATTTATTTAAAGTATTTTAGAGAGCAATTATACATAAATATTCACAGAGAACAAGTCCTCACCTTATGTTTCCAGACTTTCTGTTGTAACTCCTTCTCCACCTCCCACTAGTATTCACTGGCAACCAGATGTGGGATGGATAATTAATTATGATGCCCTTACCAGTTAGCTAGCACTGGTGGCTCCCTGACACCTCCAGATGGTCCACTGGCTTCCCATGGGCACCTCTAATCTCTCTGGACCTACAAGTAATAAATTTCTCCTGTTTTATGCATTTGATTTTACATCCTTATTGTGTCTCACCTGACATGCACACACCTGGACCCAATCTTTTTACAGGGCTTTTTCTTAATGAGTGGGTATCTTAGTAGGAATAACTGGACATAGTTCAGGCAGGAGTCGCAAGGCTATCTAATAGATTCCTATGAAAGCATACTAGGTCACAGGTTGGACACTTAGGTATTAGGCCATCTGTCAGGATAAAGAAGTATTCCATTAAAGGTACACCATATACATCTAATATACATCTAAGAATTTCTGGCCAGAGCAGAGCTAGAGCTCTCAAGATAGCAAACTTAACACCAAATTAAAAAGAAATCGTAATAGAAATCTTAACAGTGCAAAGTACTGTTAATCATTATTTTGGTTAAACTATGGAATCTCCTTAAATAGTAGGGACAATGATAATTGCAATTTATAGATCCAGAAAACAAAGCTTGAAGTTTTTATGAAAGATAACTATTAAGGGAGAGAGGTAGAATTTGAAACCAGAGTGCCTGATTTCCAAGATTTGTTCTTAAATACTATTTAATATCCTCCTGGGAAGCTTAAAGTGACACATGTGCTCAACCTGAACATTGTAAATGGAGATAAGCAAGAGGAGAGCTATGTATTTTTTAAAAAAGAAAAGCATTAAAAAAGAAAGGAAAAACATTTTGAAGAAAATGAAATGACATTATAAAAAAACTGGTTAAAGAAGTACAGAAAGTCCATGTACTAGTTTTAGAGTAAATGACTCTGTTTACTTAGAAAGTAGCATATTTAAACCACAAAACAATGAATTTCAAGTGATTAAGCTCTTCCATGTCTCTGTTTTTAGATTTCTCATATATGAAGGGAATTGTACCATTCAGTAAAGTATCTTTGGCACTTTACAAAGTCTAAAGTCAATCCTATATTTTTTGTCACGAAACTCTACGTTTTGACTCTATGATGTGACTAGACAGAGTCGAGACAAAACATTCTAGTCCCCAAATTTTGACCCTGAATGATAAAAATAAAATTTGGTCTGTGGCAGAGACTATTAGTTGCAATTCCCATATTGAGTCTCCCATTAAAATTTGGTATCGTAACTCCATTTTAAATTCTTGCACATTCTCAAAATACTTTGCAACTGGGTACAATGATGAGATTACATTCTAACCCTTTAAACATAAGGGATAATATTATGTTGAACTTTAGAAAATCTTGTTAAAGAATAGAGGGCACTTGCTCTTTCTTTGCCTGTTTTCCACAATGCAGGTAGGTTTAATGTTGCACTCACATCTTATTTAAGCATGAGGTAATCTTAACAAAGAATAGGGACCTTGTAAATAGCCATTGAGTCAAAAAAGGAATCAAAAAAGAAATTTGAAATTAGTTACCTTAAGACAAATGAAAATGAAAACACAACACACTAAAACTTATAGGCTGCAGCAAAAAAACAAAGTTATTAGCAATAAATGCATACATTACAAAAGAAGAAAGATCTCAAATGAACAATCTAACTTTACTTGCAAGGAACTAAACAAAAATAAAAACAAAAAAAAAAAGCCCAAAGTTAGCAGAAATAAGGAAATAAAAAATATTAGAAGTAAACAAAATAGAAAATAGAAAACAGTTTTAAAAAATCAGCATAATAAAGAGTTTGTTTGAAAACAAACAAAGTCGAAAAACTTTTAGCTAGACGAAGAGCAAAAAGATAAATGACAAATGAGACAAGGACACCTACTCTTGTCACAAATAAATAAAATCAGAAATGAAATAAGAAACATTACAATTGATGCCACAGGAATAAAAAAAGATCATAGTAATATTTTACTGTATACAAGTATTCACCTACCAACTGGATAACCTAGAAAAAAAATGAATAAATTCCTAAAATGTATACCAAAACTAAAGTATGAAAAAATAGAAAGTCTGAACAGATGTATAACTAGTAAGAAGATTGAATTGATAATGAAAAACCTCCCAACAGAGAAAAATAGGACCAGATGGCTTCACTAGTGAATCCTACCAAATATTTAAAGAAGAGCTAACACCAGTCTTTCTCAAACTCATACAAAAAATTGGAGGAGAACACTTTCAAACTTATTAAATGAGGCCAGCATTATACTAATTCAAAGCCAGACAAAACCATGAGAAAATTAAATTACAGGCAAATATCCTTGATGATTATCAATACAAAAATCATCAATAAAATACTCACAAAATTATTCCAACAGCACATTAAAAAGATTATAACTATAACCAAGAGAGATTTATCCCTGGGATACAAGAATATGTCAACATACAGAAATAAATTAATGTGATACATTACATTACTAGAATAAAGAATAAAAGTCACATGATCATCTCAATAGATAAAGAGTTTGACAATATTAAACATCCATTCATGATAAAAATTCTTGACATATTAGGTATGTAAGGCATACATTAACATTGAACATTAAAAAGGGCATATATGAAAAGTCTAGAGCTAACATTAGACTCAACAGTAAAAAACTGAAAGCTTTTTCTCTAATATCAGAAATGAGACAAGGACACCTACTCCTGTCACTTCTATTCAATCATAGTACTGGAAGTCCTAGACAGAACAATCAGGCAAGGAAAAGAAATAAAAGGCTTCCAAATCAGAGAAAAAAAACCTGAATGTAGGAAGCCCCTGAATATAGAAGGCATGATTGTATATATAAGCATATACTACCCTAAAGACATCATAAAGAAAAAATGCATAAAAAATATTAAACCAATTCAGCAAAGTGACAGGACACAAAATCAACATACAAAATTAGTTGCATTTCTATATAATAACAACAAACTATTTGAAAATTAAATTTTAAAAATACCTTTAGAGTTTAGGAAAAATAAAATATCTAGAAATAAACTTATTAAGGAGGTGAAAGATTTGTGTATTGAAACCTAAAAACATTGATGACAGAAACTAAACAAGATAAACCACCAAGGATTGGAAAGCCATCCCAGGTTCATAGATTGGAAGACTAGATATTGTTAAAATATCCATGTGTGCCAAAGTAATCTACAGAGGCAATGTAGCATCTGTTAGAATCACAATGGCATTTTTACAGAAATAGGAAAATAATTTCTAAATTCAGATAGAATCACAAGCATGAATAATCAAAGAAATCTTGAGAAAGAATAAAGGTGAAGGCATCACATTTCCTGATTTCAAAATATGTAACAAAGCTATAGTAATAAAAACAATATAGTACTGGCAAAGAACAGACATACAGACCAGTGAAACAGAATACAAAACACAGAAATAAATCCATGCATATATGGCCAATGATTTTTAACGGGGCTAATGGAATATACGATGGAAAAATGATTGTTTCTTCAACAAATGATTATGATAAAACTATATCTCTATGCAAAACTATGAAATTGCACCTCTGTCTTATAGCATATGCAAGTATTAATTCAAAATGGATTAGACTTAAACACAAAACCTGCACCTGTACAAAGACTAGAAGAAAATATAGAGGAAAACCTTCATGACATTGGCCTTGGCAATTATTTTATTGCTATGACACCAAAAGCACAGACAACAAAACCAAAAATAAACAAGTAAAACTATATGAAACTAAAAAGCTCTGCACAGCAAAAGAAACAGAATGAAAAGGGAACCTACAGATGGGGAGAAAACATTTGTAAACCATTTATTTGATAAGGAGTTAATCTTCAAAAAATATAAGAAACTCTTACAACTGAAAAACAAATAACAAATAACCTAATTTAAAAATAGTTTAATGACTTGAATAGACATTTGTCAAAGAAGATATACAAATGGCTTATAGATATATGAAAAATGTTCAACATCATTAATCATGAGATAAAATGTAAATTAAAACCACAATGAGCTATGAATTCACATCTGTCAGGATAGTTATTAAAACAAGGTGATAAGTGTAGGCAAGGATGTGGAAAAATTGGCACCCTCGCACACTGTTGGTGGAAATGAAAAATGGTACAGCCACCATGGAGATTTCTCTAAGCATTAAGAATAGAACTACATATTATCCAGCAATCCCACTTCTGGGAATTAGTTCAAAAAAATTAAAATCACGACCTCAAAGAAATAATAGCATTCCTATGGTCATTGCAACACTGTTCACAATAGCCAAGCTGTGGTATCAATGTAAATATCCATCCACAGATAAATGGATAAAATGTCATACACACCCCCCCTAAAATCACACAATGGAATACTATGCAGCCTTTAAAGAGAAAAGGTATGTGACAACATAGATTAACCTTGAAAATGTTATGCTAGGAGAAATAGGCCAGTCACAGAAAAAAAAAATATATTGCATAACTCCACTTATATGAGGTATCTAAAATACTCAAACTCATAGACTCAAATTGTGAAATGGTGGTTGTCGGGGCAAAGGGCACTTACTAATTAATGGGCATAAAGTTTCAGTTGGGCAAGATGAGTAACTTCTAGACATACGCTGTACACCATTGTATCTATGGTTAACAGTAATGCATTGTACATTTAAACATTTATTGAGAAGGTAATGTAGTTTTCTAACTACACTAAAATAAATTAATAAAACAGGACACTAGGGAAACAATATACTGGGGATAAAGCAAATCGATGAGACCTTGGATTCCTCATTTTACTGGGAAGCTGACACACTAGCTTTCTACTGGCTCCCTATAAACTTCTTTTACATGAAAAGTAATTCATATATGACTTGTTTAAACTAGAGATTTTAAGCACATACCCATATGGTACTGGTGTAGAAGGTTCATGCAAGTGAAACTTTGTTTATACAGAAAATGCACCATAATGGGTTATATTACTTGGATAATTTTACCGTTACCATTATGTGTGTGGTTAATGGTAAGGCATTCTCATGGTCATGTGGAAAATAGGAAATTGAAAAGTGTAGTTTTACTCAGAACAGTTCAGAGGCATTTGAAAATTATCCTTATTTTTAAAGTAATGGGTAATGAAACCATGCACTGAGACCTCAGTTTTCCACTTTATGGTAATTTATATGAAAAATACATCTGTTAATTGTTTGTTACCTTTGGTTTCTCTCTTTAATTTCTACATAAATTTTACTGATAATGTCTTTCCTGAAATATTTTACATTTGAAATTATTTCCTATAGCGCTTTATTTTATTGGCACCTGCAGCATTTTTATTTTTTCTAAACCTCAGGTTCTGAATTAAGAGTAATTTACTTCATTGTTTGCATACAAAGCATCAGTTTCCTCTTGAATTCAGCAATAAAATGATCTGGCTATCCTGAAAATATAGCATAAGTTCACTAAAATGCTTTTATTAAAACAAATGTCAGAATACAAGTTTATTCATATGTTGCCACATAATTTTGATTTGTTACCTTCCATTTAAGTTTCAGATTGTGTATACATAAAGCAGAATCTTTAAGTACATACAAAATCCTAGCTGAATATTTTAGAAGACAGTACAAACTCATCAAAGATGATTGAGCTGGAGAAAACTGCCTAGATGTTGGTTTTCCACAGATGTACTGAGAATCATTAGTACTAGGTTATGATGAGCTCAAAAACATTTCAACTATCAAAATATAAACATCATCAGTAATGGTATGCAAATTACAGTAATGGTGGTAAAAAGTTTTAGCACCATCATAATATTCCATTTTAAATTGAAAACATCTGTGAAATACTGTAATTCATTTTCATCAACTGACTTTGCAGAGAGTATTTCCTTTTTCATAGGAAGATCTATTTTGCAATGAGCAAGCTAAAAAGCAAATAAAATTCATGATACTATATCCTAGGTGCCTGGTTTCAGAGTTGTCACAATTTTATTTTGTTTCTTCAATTTTTTATACACAACAGAAAAAAAATATTACTTTTATATATTGGCTTCCAAAATAAATAGACCAAAGAGTATCTCAGCTTACTTTTACTTAGAATTTTCTTATTCTTACTTAGAATTTTTAGGCAATACAGTACTTGTGAACTCATACAAGTAAGTTCAGCTCACTGGAATTATGGGTTTTACTTCAAAGTTATATAGAGCCATATTATAAGAAGCATATTATAAATTATCCTGGATAATTTATCCAGGATATCTTCTCCCATATGTGTCCTTTCAAATGTGTGTCTGTAGGACAGGTTTTGGATACTCTGAGTCTTAAACACCTAGGATTTTCTACTTCTAAGATATAATAATATTGACCAAAATTATTGGTTAAATAAAGAAAAAAAATTTCATTGTTAATTTTCATAATATTTATCAGGCTTTGATCTGGACTTACATGTCTGTAAGTGTGTTTCAGCACTTTATCTTACTTGACAACGAATGAAGAAACATATTTTGAGTGCTTTGCTTACACATTGCTTGGTGACACACCAAAGAAAGCCACTATGAGAGGCGAGGCGTATTTACCTATTTCATACAACACGGAGACCACGCGAAGGATTGTGACTGAGATGGTTTTGTATATGCTTTGTTTCTTTTTTCTTTAAAAACTATAATTTTATTTCGTATATTTCCCTCCCTGAACTTTGGAAACCACTTTTGAAACAATACAGTGTTTTATTACTACACACTGTGGCATTGTGGCTGTATTTCTTTACCCTGCTGCTAGGATGGAGGCTAATAAGGTAGAGTTTATTTTTATCTTGAATCTCAGCAAAGTAAATTATCTGGAAATTACCACTGTAATATGTTTTATCTTCAATACTACTAGGAAGGTAAAGTGTAGTGAATGAGAATACTAATCATAGAAATGACATTTTGGAAACACAGTAGTGGAAATAGTCATCCTTGTTTAAGGATCACAGACAGTGTTCCTTCCTGGAGCATAGTGTATTGGCAGATAAAAATTTCACCTTTGTAACATGTCATCTTTAATGTTCTAGTCAGGCTGTCATGAGGACATTTCCATTAAAATCTGAGAAGTAGGAAGATCCTATTACCCTCATTTTGAGGGTAAAGACATCAATGGTAAAAATAAATTCCCAAATTAATTTTGCTCTTTACTCTGATACAACAGTGTTGTACTATGGCGAATATGGTTTAAGAAAATCTTTCATTGCAACCTTTTTGCCCAGAAATTTTTAGAGATCATGTTGAAATGCATCATGGCTTGGCAATATAGTGTCCCAAAATGTCTTCCTTATAAATAAGGGGACAGAAGCTCTTATATCTGCCAGGATGCAATAGACTACATTAAATCTTGCAACATCTCCATGACATTGGATTTTTTTATTTTTAAAATATTCTTCAAAATTATTACTTTAAAGAAAGTATAAATGAAAACTTTATTCAATGATTTAAAAAAAATAACTACATTTGAGTTATAATCTTAAGGGTAAAATAATTAGGACAAAAGGAGTTTCAAAGTCTGTAGAAAACCTGAGGAAAACACCATTTCCTCTTTTTTTTTTTGATACAAAGTCTGCTCTGTTGCCTAAACTGGAGTGCAGTGGTAGGATTACGACTCACTGCAGCCTCAGCCTTCTGGTCTTAAGTGATTCTCCTGCCTTGGACCTCAAGTAGCTAGGACTACAGATGTGTGACACTGTGCTCGGCTGTTTTTATTTTTTGTAGAGACAGGATCTCGCTATGTTGCTCAAGCTGGTCTCAAACACCTGACCTCAAGCATTCCTCCTGCCTTGGCCTTACAAAAGGCTGGGATTACAAGCGTGAGCCACCATCCCTGGCCAAAACTGCTTATTAAAACCTCAGACATGTTAAAAACCACATAACATACAGAATCACACGTAAATTTTTCAATATTCGTGGCTGATGATTTTTAAAAATCTGCCATGTCTAAATTATTATGTTGTATTCAAAACAAAATATAATAATATTAGAACACTTTCTGGAAATGCATACATTTGCAATTCTCCTTATGTTTCTATGTGTAAAAATAATTTTGAGAGAAAATAAGCAAACTGGAATATTGAAAAAAACTGTTTCAATGGGTTCCGTTATTCATTTATTATGGTTAGCTTGCTTTAAACCAATTATAATGAAAAGGTGTTAATTAAAATGTTTATTTAATGTAAATAAAAGTGATGAAACACTCTTTGGTACAATATGACACAATATTTAATGTTATTCAAATATTTTTACAAATTTTAGTTTTGTGTTGTCTGGGTGATTTGGCTTGTTAGATGAATTTATAATTAAAATTTTTGTTCTTTATTTCTAAATAAACCACATTAGATGATGAACTACATAAAACTTCTGTTTCTACTTATAAATGAGTAATTACTACAGTAATTAGACCCTTACTGTAAACAACTAGCAATCTAAATAAAGGATATGAAACCACAATTTTTCAATTTTACACAAAGGCACCACGCAAATGTGATTCCTGAGGAAGGGAAATAAATAAAGTAGATACTACTATTGCCCACCTAATTACTTGGAAGTAGTTTCCAGGCCACAGCCCTGGTAGGAAGAATTGAAACGCATCCCAGCAGTTGTACCTGAATTGAAGTGGAAGAGATCAGAATTCAGGAATACTGAGAAATTCCAGGGTAAAATAAGAAAAAGAATGGTGCTTCACAGAAACAGCACCTGAAATCTTCCATGGGGTTTGTAAATGATGCTGTCTTGCTACTGATGTGCACATGTGAGAGGAAACCTTCACAGATGAGCAAAAAACCACCAAGAATCAGTGGGATGAACAATTCTCAGAGATCAAACAAGGCTGGGAACAATTTGTTTTCCTACATTGTAAAGATCTTGAATTACCTGGGGCACTGGGTAGAGTCCTCAACAATATGCCTTCAGAAAGAGGTTTAATTAGACCCAGAATAAAGGCTGCTCTAGAGCCACTATTAGAAACAAAAATGAACAAACAACTTTAAAAAGAGCCTTGAAAAAAATCAAACACATCTACAGGTAGTTGAACCATGTACCGAGACAAAACTCAGTACTTTTTAAAGGGATACAACGAACTTCTGTAGCTAAATGTAAAATTCCAATACCTGGTATCCAATTAAAAAATTGTCAATATGCAAAGAAATAGAGAGCTATAATCCATAACAAGGAGTAAAAATAGTAGCTATCAACAGAAATAACCAGAAAATAGTGAGGATGGTGAAATGATTAGACAAGACTTTAAAACTTATATAATAAATATCATTAATATATTCAAAGATACAAAGGAAAATGTATACATGATGAGGAGAGAAATAGATGATATTCAAAAGACAAAACGGAAGTCCTAGAGATAAAAAAATAATATCTTAAATTAAAAAATACATTATATTATATTAAAAGAAGTTTAGACACTAAAGAAGAAAAAGCGAGTAAACTCGGAGATATAGCAATAGATTTTACAAAAAATGAAGCATGATGAGAAAAAAGACTGAATCCAAATTAATATAACCTCCATGACCAGTGGGATATCAAGCAGTAAAGCATATGTGTAACCGTAATATTAGAGATAAAGATAATTGAGTAATTAATAATACAATATAGGGTTTATAATACATGCAAAATGAAAATGCACAAACATTGTTACAAAATATCAGGAGGGGACAATGTAAGTATATTACTGTGTTTCTTATACTACCTATACATGAAGTTGTGGGTAGACTGTGAAAAATTACATGTGTATATTCTAAAATCTAGAGCAAACACTGGCCATAAAATAAATAAAATAAAAGAACAGAGCTCAAAATGCATGAAGCAAAACCTGATAGAATTTTTAAAAAACAGATAAATCCACAATACTAATTATCAGAACAGGTAGACAAAATAATCAATAAGGCAGTGAAAGACTTGAAGAATAGTGAAGACCAACTTGACCTGATTGACATTTAGGATACTTGTCGTATCCCCTACTTGACATTCTTTTTAAGCGTATGTGGATTTATCACTCAGATGAGCCATATTCTTGGCCATAAAATAAGCCTTAATATATTTAAATGATGAAAGTACAAGAAATATTATTTCTGTTCATAATGGAATTAAATTATAAATCAATAATGAGTATTTATTTGGTAAGTCCTCCAAATACTTAAAAGTTGCACTTTCAAATGATGCATGGGTCAAGAATAAATCAAAAGAGAAATTAGAATTAGAATTAGATGAATATTTTAAAAAATCAACATTTGTGAAACACAACTAAAGCATTGCATAAAAAGATAAAATGATAAGTGCAACATTAACTGCTTATATTAGAAAAGAAGAAAGTCATGAAATCAATTACCTACATTTTCTCTTACGAACATAGGTAAAAGAATAGAGTAAAATAATAAACAACAAAGTATTGACTGTAAAACATACTATAAAGTAAATATATATGAGTCCATTGCAACATAAATAAAGGAATGACTAAATGAACAAAGAGAAAGAGACGAGTTTTCCTTAGAGATTCCAAATAATGTATATAGATATTCTTCTCTCCAAGAGATGGAATTAAGCACACCTTACCTGCACCCCCATCTTGAGTGTAGACTGGACCTGATATTCATTTCCAAAGAATAGAGTGTGTGAAGAGAAAAATAGTAACTTTACAGTTAAGAGACTCAGCAGACCTACCTTAGCCCCACCTTAACTAAATGATGAAGGCTGATATTACTGGGAATATCGTGTGGATGTTTTGTATCTCTGACTTGATATGATGAGAAGAGTGCTTTACCTCTGTGATCTTCTTCCCCAAAACCTATAACCTCTGTCTAAAAATAAAGAGATCACTAAAGAAACTAAAAATGAAGGGTATTTTACAAAATAACTCACCAAACTGTCTTCAGAACAATAAAGATTACGAAAAACAGGGAAGATGAAGAAATTGTCACAGATCAGAGGAGATCAAAGAGACAAGATGATTAAATGCAATGTGGTATCCTGGATTGAATCCTGGAATACAGAAATGGCATTACTTGTGAAACTAGTGAAACCTAAAAACGTTTGGTGTTTAGTTAATGGTAATAAACCAATATTAATCTCTTAGTTTTGATAAATGTATCAAGGTAATATAAGATCTTAACATTAGGAGATGCTAAATGAAGAGTATAGAGAAATATTGTGTACTGTCTTTGTAACATTTTTGTAAATATAAAATTATTCCAAAATAAAAAGTTTATTTAAATAAAGACAGCTATTTGGGGTATATGATTATGAGACACAGGCTATTAGATCAAATAATATTACCAGAGGTAAGAGCTCATTTCTTATTTATAAAGGAAAATTTTAGTGTAGAGGAAACAATAATCCTGAGTATTCTTTTGCACTGAATACTAGAGTTTCAAAATACAAGGAACAAAACGTTTCTCCAGTAGACAAATTCACAGTTGTAGTCAAAGATGTCAACAACCCTAACATAACAATTGGTACAAGTGGACAGAAAATCAATAAGGATATAAGACTTGCATAACACTGTCAAACAACTTTCCTAATAAATAGATACTTTTTTGTGATTCTTAGAAGAACACCTTGCACCTTAATAATGGAGAACCAGCCAAAGCTGAAGATGTAAAGTGCTGAGTTTTCTTTTGTTGTTGTTATTGTTGTTTGTAAAAAAAGCCATTGAGTATTGTGGCATTTAGTTTTACGAGGCCCCCAGAAAAAACCTGATATAGTTCCCAGGGAACTCGTGTAGGACAGCTGTCTAATCCAATTCTTGCCTAAAAAATATTCAGGAAAGAACATGGCTGAAGTGGCCTCAGTAGTGGAGTAAGAGCTGAGCTAAGAATGTGTTGCTTCACTCTGCAGAATAGAAGAAGGTCCTGAAGATAAGGACCAGGCTGGATTAATAGAAATAAACTGGATGTTATTACTGTATTTATAACCCGAGGTGGACATTGTTTGAATTAGGCAGCCAGATGAAAAACAGAGCCCCAGCCATACTGTAGTTGGGAATCTTTTCAGAAAAAAAAAAAATGAAAGCACTACACATGAGCAAGTGTTAGCTGGGTACACTCTCCATGCTCAGAGGAAGTCAACATGAGACTGTAATTGAATCTATCAAAGATATTGTTCCTGCCTCTTAGTTCTTCACCAACACACCCATATTTTCTCTAATCCCCAAATTACCTCTTTTATCATCCATGTTACTTTTCTTGTTACCCGATATTAGGAGAAATTATACAAACTTTTAACAAGACTTAGATGCCACCATTGCCTACAGTGCCAGCATGGAATTCCATGATTCTTATATTGATGAACTCTGAAAAATATTATCTTCAATATTCTGAGGAATAAAAATGTGCTGAAAAAGATGATGAAACTTCAAAATCAAGTTAGTGACCAAATTGCCTTTCAAGACAATAGGGAACATGACTGTGATGACTAAAAAAAGTAAACAGTACAATAGTTATGCAGCTGATGAAGCTTTAGCTGTAGGGGCCTCACTTGGAACAGCTTATACCCAGTAGTAGTTGTGTGTCTTTCCACAGAAGCTAGGAGAGAGCATTAACTCTACACAAGTATCAGAGGCCTTATTGGCTGTCTTAGACAAGGAAATACAGGTGAAATATGTCAAATGCTTATATAATTATGTAGCAAACTTGTTCAAGATGAGGTGTATGGTTGTATGGTAGAGTGTGTTTATGACATGCATACCCTTGAATGTGGTTGCAATGAAAGCCAAGTGTCGGGCGACTTTTCCCGCAGCCATGGTTTATAAAATTTTGAAAGAAGCTTATTATACACACACATACATACATATATACACACACACCCCAACACAAATACATATACAATCATATATAAACTCATACATACTTATGTATATACATACTCATGTATGTATATAAAGATATATACATATATATACATGATATAGATATACAACTGTTTAAAGCTGTCATATGGAACCTTATTCAATATAGTAATCATAGACATAGGGTTAACTCTATGTCTAGTCTAAAGACGAAGTTTTAAACCATAATAAAATACCAGGAAAATGTTCGACTGTATTTTAACCTTACTCTTAATATCAAAAAATTATATTTCTAATTAAATTAGTAGTATTTTTGTATTAAATACCAGGATATTTATGCTTCTTTATGAAAAGTATCTTTTAAGGTTAACTGATAACACAGAGAAGGTGTTGTTGCATTATTGTTTGAGGAAAAAGTGAACAGAGAGTGACTGAACCCAGATTATAAGTCCCACTTTTAGCACTTAGCATTAAAATCTGTAAGTTATCAACCACTGAAACTTTTATTTATCTAAAAAATATGGATGTTCAATTATTTGTCCCTGTTTTTTGAAATTTTATGAGTAATATGTCTTCATAAACATACATTGTATTTCCAAGCTCTTCTATTTGATAGCTTTGCACTAACATGTTTTAAAAGAAGATAAGGAAAATAATGCAAAAAAATCCAAAATCATCTTCTGCAGTAATATGATGAGAACATTGACTATTGATTCACAGGTTCTCTGAATAAATTTGTCAAATTTCTAAATATTTTTAATCTTACGTCCATCTCTGAGAGCTCATACTAACAGCTATTATTTGTGAACTTCAAAAGACTCTTTCACAAGTGAATTATTATAAACTTGATGAAAACTCTAAGACATATCATCATTTTCTCCCATACTTCCTACTCTGAGATGTCTCTTTCCTCTTAGAAACTCATCAAATCTATCTGTATGAAGAATGGTACGTGGTATAAAATGAAGTGGCTACCAGGCTCTGTATGTACCAGCTGCTGCTTCAAACTTTATTCTTCTTCCTCACTACTCCAGCCATGCTGTTCTTTTAGTTCCTGAATCCCCTGATGCTTCTACCTGAGGGCTTCTGCTCTTGCTTCCGTTCTGCTTGAATATTTCTACAGTAAATTTTTGAACAGGTAACTCTGTATCATTCAGATGTTAATTCACTTCTTAGTTCTACGGAGAGATTGTTCTTATGATACAATCTAAGGACTGTAAGGCCTTCCATCCTAATCATTGTCTATATTCTTTCACTATCTCAATTTTCTCTCAGAACTCCTTATCAGAAAATACCTTTTTCCTTTACTTATTTATCATCTGTCTTTCACAGCCTAACCTGAGCAGTCTTGTATGTAGACACTAGCTACATGTGGCTATTGAAATTTAAATTAAATAAAATTTTAAATATAATTTTTCAGTCACACTAGCCATATTAAATGGAAATTTAAGACTCTTCTGCCTCAATCTACACATGTGGTTAGGGGGTACCATATTGGACAGCACAGACTATTTCTGTTATTAAAGAAAGTTCTAATAGATAGTGCTGCTTTATCATGTCAGCTTCAAGAGTTAAGATCTTTGCTGATTTTTTTCACTGCCATATGTCTACAGATTAGAAGAGTTCCAGGCACCCAGCATGTATCATATCAGTATTTGTCAAGTAGATTGTTAAGTAAAAGCCAGCACATTTTAGCTTCCTCTAAGAACAAGAAAATGAATTACTTTGCAAATGAGCAAACTGCAAAATTGTACAAGACCTATTTAAGGTTTGAAAGATTACTACAGATCTCAGGTAAACATTTAAATTTCAGAGAACAGAGTCTCTTGTTCTCTTGCTCTTCTTCATCCTCTTTCTTCCTCAAATAAACATATGTAAAGAAACAGGAAGCAATCATAGAAAATGTCTCTTTTATATTCCCTAAAAGATATAGGAAGATGCTGTATTCATAAAAATAGAGAAAGTAGTTATGGAGAAAAATCCGTTTAAGATAAAGCATAATTACATGTAAATGAAAAACATGATTGGTAAATGCAAGTCCTTGATTGAAGCCGTAAACAGTAGACTGATTAGTACAGAAAACTGAACAACTAAAGTAGAACACACTCGCCTAGGACTCAAAAAAAAAAAATCTGCTGGAAGTTAAACTTGTGTAAGTGAGGAACATATCCAGGAAATCCTATCTATACATAAAAGGAAATATACAAAGGATGGAAAGGAGCTGAAGATTTTAAATGCTGATAATAATAGAATGAAACTATCATGATTTGAAGGAAGATCTGAGCTTTCAGATAATGTTTTAGAGAAAAATTAATTGTAGGGGTTATATAAGTTTAAAAATAGTTACATTTCAAAAAAAGAGGTAAAAAAATCCTAATACACCTCTCTACCCTTAACCAACATACCCTAAAAGACTTACTATACAAAGAAATTTAAGATTTATTTGCCACAATAAATAATTGCATAAGTAGACGAACATCTACAGAAGCTTCCGTTTTGGTGGAAAGGGGATGATTGACAGAGTGATGAGTGAGAATTACGGAAAAGAGATTCTGTATCCACTCAATTATACTCATTTACAAATACAAATTAAGTTGAACTTTGGCCTTCACCCAATCTGAGGCTTCCAAACAAATTGAGTTATCTATTCTATTAAAGGAACCAAGAAATATTAAGAATCAATGGCAATAGCATAAGTTTCACTCTTGTTGAGATGATGAGGTATAAGTGGATATATATTGATTCTGATTACTGTCAGAATTCTAATTGTTCACAGAGGGTAAAGAAATTGAGATCCTTGATCATTTTATAAAGAATAGCCTCCTGAGATATTTTCAGTCTTTTCAGATATTGATGTTTCTTTCCACTTAACTTTCATATAAGAAGGTTGGGAATATATAACAAGCCTGATCCCCACAATAGTCAATGGACTGTGGTGTTAGACTCTGTCGGTAGAGTTTCAAATATTTAAAATAAGAATTTGTACTATTTTATAACCCTCATAAAAGAAGGCCTTCATACATCAGAATGGCCTAGGTAGCAAGATCAATAGTTTCATCTCCCAATTAGGCAATCATGAAAGAGAGAGGGAGATAAACCAACAACATAAAAATTCCTGCAAACACAACAGAAACTTCATTACCACCTTTATCATTTAAGGAAAATGTATTATTATCTTCCTCAAGATGTTCAGATGTAGGATGATTAATTTAATGGCTAAACTATTTTGTCATGAATCCAGAATCTTTCAGTCCTGTCATTCTCAACTTTGACTTGAGGCCAGTTCCTGTTACAGTACTACAATTCTGCCACAACTTTAAGCCTCATTTGTGGAGACTGTAGCATTCATTGTTGGAAAAGGGACTATATCTTCCCTATGTGTGTCCCTTTAGATAAGTCTGGAAACTTTTCTAGAAGCCCCCAGTAGACTTTCTCTTTCATCTAATTTATCGGAATTGTGTCACTTAACAATTGCTAAATCAATCATAGGCAAAGGGAATGAGATGGCCAGGATGGATGTCAACTAATGAGAATTTACCTCTGAGCTGGAAATAGAGTCACTCCAAGCTGGTTACCTGTAACATTTTGTAGTTTAATTAACGAGGCAGAAAGAGAGAGTGGATGTTTAATAGGCAACTAACAGTGCTGTTGTGCTATTTGACCCCAAAAGTAGTTTACAAAAATAAATGGCATCTGTAGCAAAAACTGCATAGACAAATGAAGTATCCTGAAAATCTATTGTGTTGTTGCACAGTAACTGCTGGTTCAATTTCATCTCTGCCAGTTGGGTGTTGATAAACAATAGCTGGGCTGCAGTTGTTTTGGCCTTCTCTGAGTGTAGCAACATATGGCATCACAACAGGGCATGGAGGACAGGAAATTGCTATTTATAGCTTCAAGTGGAGAGACAGGTAGCAATGCCAGGAACCAGTAGGTTTCTAGAACAGAGACAGCCTCCACTTTTCTGACAGATGGCACCATACAGGAAAGAAACAGCCTATTGGTCTTATGAGGCTTAGATTTAGTTAGAGTCACTAGATGCAAGAGTGTATTTTGCAGTTGAAATGGATAGGGGTGTGGGAGAGCAGAGATTATGTTTCAGAGAGGACCATTCTTCCATCAACATGTGTTTCAAAGAGGGCCAATCTTCCACCAATATAATGGCTGAATTGTATAGTAAAGAAATTCCAGCAAAGATTGTTTTCATGATGAAATAACAAAAAAAATTGAGTATTATGTGTGTAGATGTGTTTATATATATATACAGGTATGTACGTATGTGTGTTGCTTTATATGTATATGTGTGTATATATATGTATGTACACATTTTTATATGGGTCAAAAAGCAATTGAAGGTCACAAAGTCCTTCAGTATGGTGTCTGCAATCTCCAGTACAGTCCTGTAGCTTCCTGCCTGGTGAATAATAAACCTCAGTGTATAGAAAGCTAGCACTTGATTTCCTTTCTTGCGAGTATTTGCCTGGAGTCATCTGTGCATCATTTTATATATACAGTAAAAAGGAAAAGTATATTGTATTATTTACATGAAGACATTGTAAACTGAAAGTGTTTACATTTTAGTTAGACATTTTTAATACATGTCAAAATACATTTAAAATATTTCATTGAACCTAGTGATAGAATATGAAATAACAGGCCTGACCAAGGTAGGTAACAAAAAACGAACTTGTTGCAAACTATTGCTCACCTATAAAAACAACTTAGTTCAGGTAATATTGTAGCTACCTTTCATTATAAGAATAAAATGAAAGCTTAATCTTCAAAGTATACTTGTATTTTGTTACCTAATATCTAACAATAATAAAAGAGTAACTTTGAAGGTCAAAATGAAGTGCTTTTAACTGCTATCAACTCTATTTTTTGATTATTTCTCATGCAAAAGAGTAAATGCTATTGGTGTCATTTTTCACTCTTTACCTTTAGATCCTTTACGCACTTCGCAAGACTATTGTGATTGTAATAAATCATTTGGTAATAATTTAGGACCTTTATTATTATGAGAAGAAAATATTAAATGATTATTTTGAGTTATGCGTTTATGTTACATTAATAGACATTTAAAAGAGTAGAAATGATTGCAACATAAAGAAAAATTATATACTATTCAGTATGTACACTCTAAATAAATAAAAGTCATTTGGCAATAGGATCATTTAATAAAACCTGTGGCTTCATTACTATTAGTTTCTCAGAAATGGAAAAATATTATAAATGTATTAAAGAAGACTAATATTTAAGGCCAATAAAAAGAGGAATTCATCTGAAATGACACAAATAATCTCAGTACAATACCTCTTAAATTATGTATATTGTGGTATATTTACAATTGCAATAATGTAGATGTCTTGTGTAGAAAAATAATTTGAATTGCTATCTCTAAGTAATAAAAACAACTGAGAATATTGTGAAAAATAAATTGAATTTTGCAGACGATTATTTGACTCAGTTATCATGTTAGTCTGCACACAAAGTTGTATTTTAGAAAACTGCTAAACACAAGACACCAGTACGTAACTACTTTGTTCATTGTTGAAATAGTCATAATAATTACGTGCTATATATTTTTAAAAGATCAACCACCATAAACTGGCAAATATTCTTCAACTGCAAAAGAGTTGTTTCAATGCAATGAGATTGTGATATATAAGCAAAAAGAGGTAGGGGAAGGTGTTGTTAATTGTCATTGGTTTCTAAAAACCTGGTGTCTGTAACAACAGTTTTTAAATATGAATTTTCTACTGTCACACTGAATCAAACAGCGCATCCAAAAGCTTATCCACCATGATCAAGCAGGTTTCATCCCAGGGATGTAAGGTTGGCTCAACATACACAAACCAATAAATATGATTCATCACATAAACAGAACTAAAGACAAAAACCACATGATTATCTCAATAGATGCAGAAAAGGCTTTTGATAAAATTCAACATCCCTTCATGTTAAAAATGTAAATGTAAATAAACCAGGTATAGAAGGAACATACATCAAAATAATAAGAGCCATATATGACAAACACACAGCCAATATAATACTGGATGGCCAAAAGCTGGAAGCACTTCCATGAAAATTGGCACAAGATAAGAATGTCCTTTCCTGCCATTCCTATTAAACAGTTTTGGAAGTTCTGTCCAGGACAATCAGGCAAGGAAAAGAAATAAAGTGCATTGAAATAGGAAGAGAGAAAGTTAAACTACTGTTTGCAGATTACATGATCCCATATCTAGAAAACTCCATTTTCTCAGCCCAAAAGCCTCTTATGCGGGAAGCAACTTCAGCAAAGTCTCAGGATACAAAATTAATGCGCAAAAATTGCTAGCATTCCTATACACCAACAACAGTCAAGGCAAGATCCAGATCACTAATGAATTCCCATTCACAATTGCTACAAAAAGAATAAAATACCTACGAATACAGATATTTTATTCGTATGGAATATTCGTATTTTATTCATAAGGAATATGAAGGCTCTATACAAAGATAAGTACAAACTATTGCTCAAAGAAAATTAGAGATGACAAAAACAAATGGAAAAATATTATATGCTCATGGATAGGCAGAAGGAATATCGTGAAAATGGCCATATTGCCCAAAGCAGTTTATAGATTCAATGGTATTACCATTAAACTGCCACTGGCATTCTTCGCAGAACTAGAAAAACTATTTTGAAATTCATATGGAGCCAAAAAAGAGCCTGAATAGCCAAGGGAATCCAACGAAGAAAGAACAAAGCTGGAGGCATCATGCTACCTGACTTCAAACTATCCTACAGGGCTACAGTAACCAAAACAGCATGCTACTGGTAAAAGAACAGACACATAGACCAATGGAACAGAATAGAGAAGCCAGAAATAAGACTACACACCTACAACTATCTGATCTTTGACAAACCTGACAAAAACAAGCAATGGGGAAAGGATGTCCTATTAAATAAATGGTTCTGGTACAACTAGCTAGTCATATGCGGAAGACTGAAACTGGACCCCTTCCTTACACCGTCCCCCAAAATAAACTCAAGATGGATTAAAGATTTAAGTTAAAAACCCCCAACTATACAGATCCTAGAAGAAAACCTAGGCAATACAATTCAGGACATAGGAATGGGCAAAGATTTCATGGTGAAGATGACAAAAGCAATTGCAACCAAAGAAAAAATGGACAATGAATTAAACTAAGGAGCCTTTGCACAGCAAAAGAAACTATCAACAGAGTAAACAGACAACCTACAGAATAGCAGAAAATTTTTGCAAACTATGCATCTGACAAAGGTCTAATATATGGCATCTATAAGGAACTTAAACAAATTTACAAGAAAAAAAAACAACCCAATTAAAAAGTGGGCAAAAGACATGAACAAACACTTAAAAGAAGACACATATGTGGCCAATAATCATATGAAAAAATGATGAACACCATACTGATCATTAGAGAAATGCAAACCAAAACCACAATGAGATATGATCTCACACCAGTCAGAATGGCAATTATTAAAAAGTCAAAAAATAACAGATGTTGGTGAGGGTGTGGAGAAAAGAAAATGTCTTTACACTATTGATGACAGTGTAAATTAGTTCAACTATTGTGGGAGACAGTGTGGTAATTCCTTAAAGACCTAGAGGCAGAAATACCATTTAACCCAGCAATCTCATTATCAGGTATATACCCAAAGGAATATAAATAATTCTATTATGAAGACACATGCATGCACATGTTCATTGCAGCACTATTCACAATTACAAAGATATGGAATCAACCTAAATGTCCATCAATGATAGACTGGATAAAGAAAATGTGTACATATACACCATGGAATACTGTACAGCCATAAAAAAGGATGAGATCACGTCCTTTGCAGGGACGTACGTGAAGCTAGAGGCCATTATTCTCAGCAAACTAATGCAGAAACAGAAAGCCAAATACAGCATGTTCTCACTTATAAGTGGGAGTTAAATGATGAGAACACATGGACACATAGAGGGAAACAACACACACTGGGGCCTACCAGAGGGTGGAGGGTGAGAGGGAGAAAGTCAGAAAAAAATAACTAATGGATACTAGGCTTAATACCTGGGTGACAAAATAATCTGTATGACAAACCCCTATGGCACACATTTACCTATGTAACAAACCTGCACATTTTGCACATGTACCCCTGAAATTAAAAGCTAAAAACAAATAAATATGAATTTTCATATTAACAAATGATGTTAGAATGATGTTCATATACTCTCAACATGATTTAAGCTTAAGGATAAGCCATGCATATTTATTAAATACTGCGTAGTCTGAACTGAAATGTGAGTGCATAAGCAGTATAATTTGTGGTACGTGAATGGTTAAAGCTGCAGTTACAATTCACTTACATCCTTTACCTGGAGGAGCAGAAATAGTTATCCTAGGAAGGAAGAAAAGAATTCTAGAGATCCATAGTAAAGACAGGTTGAGTTCCAATCTGGATTTATCACATAAAGGAAACTCATTTGTTTTTGCTTTAGCTTTCATTTTTGAGAAATGAATGTATCACTAGAACCTCATATATTTGTTTAGAGATTTGTAATATATATACAAAGTACATAAAATAATATTATTAATGTCAGATATTACTCTTTTAATTTAATTTCCATCTAAAAACATAACCTGAAAATCTTGCTTTAGAAATATATTAAAAGGCATATTTTATAAACATCTGACAAGAAAATCTTTTGGACAAAACATAGTTCTATATATTTATTCATATGTAAGATATTATTCAAATCCTTCATGAAAATACTAATTTCTCATCAGTTTTTTATGTCATATACTGGAGAACTAAAATATATTTGAATTTGTTTTTTCTTTATATGCACATTTTTATTTGTACGTTTTATGTAATGCTAAGCACACATTTATTAGGGATTGTGGACAGAGAGTTAAAAATATGCAAGGAGTGATGCTTCCTTCTGTAGTGCAGATTTGGTGCTAGGAAGCAGATGTCCATCCAAGGACTATATATTCCAGAACATTTAGCATTTAGGAGGAGACATATGATTAGTTAATATCAATGGAATAAAAAATTCCTTATTACTAATGTTCCTTCAGGGCCATAGTAGTAAGATATGCCTTTTCCAACTCATCTTTTACTATGACCTAAATAGAAGCAGAGAACTCCAAGGCCCTCTCACATCATAGAGATGAAAAATGGGAGAAACAAGGAAACCTAAATCACAGCATGAAATGCTACCCACCAAACCCTTGGATTGAACCATCACATCTTTTAAGAAATAAATTTTTTCTATTTCCTATTTTGTTATTCCATGGTGTTATATTTATTCTTATTGTAATAAGCCTATGAGATTTGCTAGATTATCTACTACTGCAGTTAGCATTACTGGCTATAGTACAAATGGAAACTCTTAATTGGAATTATGTAATACCCCTTGTCTCTTATCATTGGATTTTTATTGGTTAAAGTGTCCATGAAAATGCATATTATAATTAGGATTGGATTTTGAGGATGCATGATAAATAAATTCAGAATGTAAGGCCACATAAGTCAAATACTGTGTGAATAACTGACCCCATCGAAAAGACTAATCTCTCACTTCTTTTGTAAGAGTGTCAAGTGGACACAGTCCTTTCTAAATAGATCCAGCGTTACCGACAATCTACAAGTTTGATATATTCGTCTATATTTTTGGCAGCATTTTAATATCTAAGTTTTAGTCCAATCACATGTCTAGATTTAGCCCTTTCAAATTATAGATGCTTAGAAGACCAATGAGTCATCATAACATATGTCTTCTGCACTTTGCTAGAAAGGTTTAGCCATAAAGGGAACAGGTTATTTTTCTCAATTCCATCTCTGTAATAAATGAGTATATCCTCTGTGTGAAAAAATGTTAGCAGTAGTTAAAAACTGACTGAAAGGCAAACTATATACACAGTTTGGATAAATCAATCTTTACTTATCTAAGATACAGAAGAAAGTCAGTGCTTTCAGTCAGAATATTAATCTGCGTAATGTCATATAAGAGAGGTAAAATTCTCTATCCCCAGTGGTACACTAACAATCATAGAGTCGCTAATGGTAATTTGTTTAATAATGAGGGTAATATTTAAATTTATGCAAGCATAACTGTTTTCTTCCATATAAGGCTCCTTGAAACAGAATCACAGGAAATTATTTAAGATGCCTAGAGAAGTCCACTAAAGAATGCACAAGAATAACTTATCAGATGAGAACAGGCACTCAAAAGCTAATATGAAACACTAAATAACATAAGATAAGAAAAAGGGCCTTAGGACATTTCCTTCCATCCAATTTGAGTAAGGGAGGAGATGGTAAGAATAGGATGAAGGAACACTGGAGCTCATAGTACATAAGAGAGGACATTGGAGCAATGGAAATGAAAAAAACAGGCCTCAATTCTCTATACCTCTGCTTGTCTTCCTAATTCTTCAGGGGGCTTTAAACTACTGGTGGTGGTGGCGAAGTCACTGAAACAAATTACACATTAATATTTTAAATTTAGAGCTTCAATTTCGGTTTCAGTGATTAAAATGTGACTATTCATACCTAAGATGTTTAAAAACTTTATGGGTTATGTTTCTTTCTTCTTTTGAGACGGAGTCTCCTGTGTCTCCCAGGTTGGACTGCAGTGGCGTAATCTCGGCTCACTGGAAGCTCCGCCTCCGGGGTTCACGCCACTCTCCGGCCTCAGCCTCCAAGAGTAGCTGGGACTACAGGTGCCCGCCACCACGCCCAGCTAATTTTGTTTTTGCATTTTTGGTAGCGACAGGGTTTCACTGTGTTAGCCAGGATGGTCTTGATCTCCTGACCTCATGATCCGCCCGCCTTGGCCTCCCAAAGTGCTGGGATTACAGGCATGAGCCACCGCGCCCGGCCTATGGGTTATGTTTCAAATGTTTACCACACTCACGGTAGGAAAATGTGACAAAAAGGAAAAAGTCACACTATTAATAAAAATTATAATCATTCACTGGTTGTTATCCATCAAGTACAGCCCATTAAATAAACATAAAAGTTATATTTTATGTACATTCTCTGATAATGTCCTTTTACATTTATCTATGGAGATCTGCAAGCTTAAAATACAGAATGAAACAAAAAAATCATTAACTCTGTAAACATCACATTATGCATTAGCTAAAATAGTTTAGACAGTGTAGAAATATGGAAATATTAAGTTCAACATACAAAAGAAAAGCAACAAAATAAAATTTTTCATCTAAGTGTAACATGTAACAACTAACACCAGTTTTACTGGGTTTGAGTAAGAATTTAGGGATTTTTGTCCACTATTTTTAAAGATATAAGGTTTCCTATTCACTTTTTAATAAAATTGCTTGAATAAACTAAAAAATTAAAAGTCCTTGACTTTTAGAAGGAAAGTTATAGAAAATAGCATTATAAAATATGTAACAATATAAAACTGCTTCACTTCATACTCACTGAAGGACAGTATAAGCATTAAAAGTCACATTGATAAAACCTGAATTTGATACCTTTTAATATTAAGTTTCTTAATTTCTCATAGAATATATATTTGACAGGTTCTCTACAAGAATAAGAAAAAGTAAGTGATTTAAAATACTACTCGGAGAGAACTGTTCATATGATCTCAACATGTTTTGACATTCTTCAGTTTAGCTCACTATTTCTGAGTGACATTAAAAACTTAGGAATCAGTACAAATGGGTTGAAAAATCATTTACCCTCTAAGAATGTCCTGTTCTTGCAAACAAAAGTATCTATTATAAGAGAACATTTGACTGGTGTAGTTAAAATCAGTGAAGTATGGTTCATTGATACATGGTAGATGTTTTGGGAAGTCAATGATCATAACCTATGTATACATTATTATTTTAAAAATATTAATGGCATGGAGATATATAGTGTGTGTATATAATTATATATCTTATTAAATGTAAATATTGGCAAAATCTTTTTCTTACAAATTTGCACATTATACTTAATGGTATATTTTGCTTTTAAAAATTGGTTTATTTAAATATTGTAGCTAAATAGTGCTTGAGAGCATTAAGAGTAAAATTAATTATATAGATAAATTTTTATGACTGGAAGTGGACCAAAAAATTCTAAATAAAGTTAATATGCTACAAAGTCTCATGGATTGTTAAATTATTTACCTAAATGCTAAAATTCTCTATCTAGTTTCACATACTTGTTACACTGGGACCGTGCTCTAGAACAACAAAAAACAAGGGTGCTTCATCAGCAAATTCAATTCAATCAGATTATCATTTCTTGTATATTTTAAAATATTGACACCCAATTTATTTGTCTCTCTTTCAAAAAGTCAACAGCATTATGCCTTTTTCTGTGCTTTCATAATAAAATTAGCTTTATTATCTATATGGGTTTAACCAAGTCAACTTAGGTCACATATTAAATATATCTCTCAAACTGATATATAACTATTAGTCTCTGTTATGTTTAACAAATTTATTTCATCAACATACATTAAACACTATTTTAATTTATCTTTTATTTTATCTTTTACCAGGAAATCTTACAAAAAACAATAAGACTTGCCATGATATGCAAATTCTATGATATCCTTTTTATTCGTCATTTAATCAAATGGATGTATCCTATTCTTCATTAAATTTTAAATAAGAAACCAAATTATTTACTTATTACAGTATAGAGGATATCTTTGTGTACCATGAAATATTACTTTGGGCAACATGATCAAATTGGAATTCTCCTTCACTATACTTTTTTTAATATGAGACATCTTCAGATTTCAAGATCTAGTGAGCGCCATGAAACAGAAGAGAAAATAGACTTACCTTTTAACAAATGGAGTAAATAAAATGCACATTATAGTGGGCTAAATCGCATTTTAAATATTCTTTTTATCAAAAGATATTCTGAGTACCCCAAGAAAAATGATAAAATACAATAACGTTACTTGTGGTCTGTGTCTTAGTATATCCATCTTGGAGGAGGTAGCATTTTTGAGGACTCCAGGTAGCGGGAAGAAAATAATTTCACTATCAAAAAACAATGCCACTGGATATGAACGGACACTTCAAAGGGTAGTCTTCATTTCAGGAATTGCAATTGGATACTTGTTACTGGAGTTTAGTATGGCAATAGAAGGGTGGGTGTGACAGACAAAGACAAAGCGTGCATGAGAGTGTTGTAATGGTAATCTTCACTTTTAAAACCATCGGCAAATAGGGTGAATCTTAGTTTGAGTTGCCAACTGTAGTGTGCCTAATTTACGATTTATTTACAATTTTGCTTTACCTCATATTGATCCAAATGGTCAAACTAAACTTTCACCACCAGTTGGGTGGGTCAACTTACCAGAAATAGTCTAAATCTGAAAGCTGACATAAAGCTATTTTTGTTGAAACTAATTTTGTAGAGTCCTTATGTAGTACTAAATAAAACCAGCGCTAAATTTTCCAACTGCCGCTGCTAATGTAATCACTTAGGTTAGAATCTTCTCTCTGATTATTGCCCATTTTAGCTTACTAAGTGTACATTGATATACTGTGTTTCATTCTGAAGATAGATGTTTCTGTGCCAGTCTTGTATCCTGCATTTCTACTTGTTTTTTATCTTTTATACGTCTCATCTGAATTTTAGCTGCAGATAGTACTTTGATGGGTTTTTACATTTCAGTGCAAAGTGCCTGTTACATCTGCAAGTTCTTTACTACTCACTATTGTAATATTAAATGTCTATTGATATAAGCATGTTGATATTTTCTGAACATTTTATAGCTTATTTTATAAAATTAGATATAACTTGAACTGGACAAATTGACTTCAATTTTCTAAATCAGTGGTTCTAAGATTTTATTGTATATTAATGCAGAATCTCTTGAACTAAAAACATGCATTCTAAGGCCCACTTTCAGATACTTTGATATATTTGTAATAAGACCAGCACTGGAAAACTGTAATTTTATCAGACACTTTAAGTGATTGTTCTCTATATGGTCATTCTCAGGCCAAACTTCAAGAAATACTAATCTATATATTATAGGCAATGATATTTGGGGAAGAAATGTAGTTTTTTAAAATTATCATTTTGATTTTTTTAAAGAAACTATTGTATAAGACTGGGTAATTATTAAACAATACAAATAAAAATAATTTCTTATAAAATAAAATATTTATGTCTGATAATTTATAAGGCTGAAATAATTGTAGTGTGTGTTCTTTAGTGATAAATAGCTCTTCTACACTGCTTTTGGTCACTATTACATATTTATGAATGAATACTGATTATATAAATATGCTTTTACTGAGGGGAAAACTGAAAATAATTAGTTTCAACTAATTAGAAGCTGAATTAGAAACTGATGTAGGTGGGAGAATGATAGTTTAGGCTACGTACAACTTTATTGCTGTCATTGTTGTTGCTGTTTTTGAATTTCTAAAATCCCATATGCGGATCTAAAAACTGCATATTGTTATGGCAATTTTTAGCATATTATAGGCTATTTTAGATGACACAATATCTATGATAGGCTAAACCGTGATCCTAGAAACATAGACTCACTCTATATTATTCTCTCCTAAAATTAACTGTGCTTGTTTTATTAAAATGACACATAAAGGGCAACCTATCATCATTGTAGGGAAAGTCTAAGACACAAGTCTCTATTTTACAAGAATTGACTTGTTTTACAGTTTAAGTTACTTCTGACTATCTCCTACTGCTTACTCACATCATTAACTTCATTTTCCCTTCAGGGGGTTTGTATCCGTTAGGGTTTAACCAGGAAACAGATACGTCATTACATTTTTATAAAGGATAAATTGTAAGACATAGAATTGCTTACACCGATCATGGAAAAGCTGACAAGCCATGCTGGACATGGTGTGACCATACTGAGATTAGCAAGTACAGAAAACCCCCACTCTCCCTACAGTGAAGAGCAAAGGGGGACCCAGTACTCCTGGAGGCCAGCACCTGAGTCCTCTGGGGAAAATGCAACCAGGAGGGCTCTTCAGGAAGCCAGATCACAGCAGAGGGGAGCAAGGAGAAAAATCCTGGCTTTTTCCTAAATTACTTCTCTAATGCACCAAATGTCTTTGTTGAAAGTAACTAGAGCATCTGAATGAGAGAGAAGCTACCCTGAAATACAGAGAAGAGTAAGGAGGAAAAAGACTGAATCTACGGACATGAAGACCCAGGACATGCACAAGGTTTCAGCTCACCCACACTTTCCTTCTGCATACATGCCTCTGATACTGCTGATTCCTTTGTAAAGCATCAAGTTTGTAGTGACAAAAAGTACAGCTGTTTCCACTTTGGTGACAATCCTTTTCTAAGGAATATATATATATATATATACACACACACTAAATAATGAGTATCAGCACAACAGTCAGCAGAAACAGTGTCTTAAATACAAAAGCTCACGTGATCTAATTATATAAGGAGATTGTTCTGTTGTTTAAGATTAATAAATAGAAGAGAAGGCTATTTTCTCTTAAGCTGAATCAAAAAAGTTAGGGAATATGCCTGAAGTATTCTTAAATTCTGTTTAACACTTCAGTGTCAAATAAGGCTGGGCACTATTTAAAGCGATAGGATAGATTTTATTCAACAACTATTGCAGTGGGGAAGAGGGCCCGGTCCAAACAAAATTTGCCTTCATGAAACAAAAGGCTGGAGACTTTTTAAAGTCTGGGGTGTCTTAAGGGAAAAGCACTAACTTATGTGAAGGGGAATTGGTCCATGTGACTAGGCCATCTGAGCTTGTTAACTGGTTGTTATCGCAGGAGAAACAAATTTCTATCTTTGTGACAGGAGGCAGTGGTACGAGTTAGAGTAAGGTGCCCATGGAACTCAGGCCCTTATATTCCCACAGGTACTGAAAACAAGAGGGAGAGGTACCTTCCAGAACACTTACACTTCAAAGAGATAGCCTCCAAGTCTTGGAGGAAACAGTTTCCTTGTGGTATATTTGCATCTCAAAAGGCAGAGAAAGTGTTCACAATTCCAAGTTTTCTAAAATAACTGCTTTAAGAGCTGGTCCAGGGGCCTATCTGCATATCACTAGGTTTGGGCTGGAACAGTCAATTCTCCTGTAGGGCATATTAAGAGCGGGGACTAGGGTGATCCTAGAGATGATTCCTTAAACTACTAAAAGCCACAGTAGAGTTTGATCAGGTCTCAGTGCAGGTTTGGATCGAGTCCTTAAGTGCTGGGAGTTCTGTAGTTTTCACCAACTCTCTGGTAACTACACTTTATTGGTTTAAATGGCTTGAAATCATTCTGCAAGTTGTCTCTAACCACATCCCTAATGAGAATTTTTGGCCAATCTCTGTCACTCATAGTATTAAGTTGGTTTGTAACATGTATTTAGAATAACAGGATCTCTAATGACAGAGTAAGCATTCAGAGGGCAGCATCATCTGTATTTAATTTAGTTTTGTAATCTCAGTATTTGGCACAGGGGTGAATGTAAATAATGAAATTTAAAGTACATTAAGCTCTTAGCATGCACAAAGCATCCTTCTGACTGCTGCTGATGTGGATCCCCTTTCAATCCTCATAGTCACCTTATTGAGGAAGGGCTAGGTTGTCCTATATCAAGGGTATTTGGTATTGGAAAATGAAAAATTAAAGTAGATTATGTAAAATTGAAATCAACATTTCATATTTAATGTTAAAAATATATTGGGAATTCAGCTATAAAATAAAAATGAATGCAATAAACTTATAACTTTATTTTTTCATTCATTTAATAAAATGTTGGTTCTAGTTATCAATATATGCTAACTCTTAGAGTGAGTTATGTTTGATATAACTCTTGAGAGAAGTATATGACAATAAAACATGAAATCCATCACTTCTCATTTTATTCTCAGAGTGTGATCACCAGAAATAATATTTCTGTAACAATTATTTAAGGGCTTTCTTTCAATTTTGACAAAAGCCACTCTTTTTGAAGCATACATCCTTGTATATTTCCTGACTCTTTGTAGGTTTCCTTTTTTCATTGTAATATGTTCAACTCTGCCAGACCTTCATTTTCAATTACTTAATGTTACTTTTAATTTTAGGATTTCCCTAAGACTAATTTTATCAAAATTTATCACAAATTCATATGTTTCACCATTTTTTCCTTGATAGCTCTGTGATTGGTTAATATTTTATTTCTATGAGGCACTTTAGACACAATAATGTAGACTCTGCTCATTTATAATAGCTAAGTGGATCATATTTTCCAGTTTTCTTGGGAAAGTGTTGGTTTGTATATATTAAGGGAGCATGCTTTCATCTCAGAAGTTTTGTGATTTGGATATTCTAATGCATACTTGACCTAATAATAGTGATGCTTGAAGAACACTTATTGAGCCACAAGCATCTTTCTTAGTGGTCGTGTAAGTAGCATCCTTAACACTTACAACTCTGTGAGGTGAGTAGAATAGTTATTCCCATCCCACCAGTTAGGGTACTGAGAGACAGTTGACTTAGTATCTTGACTAGATGATAACCAGTATTTTATCTATTATCTAAACACAGTGGTCTGGCTAAAGAGATTTTACGCTCAACCAAATCCACACTATATGGCTCTCTTTGCCCCAGAAGACATTTTACTGATGAGCAAGGCTAGATGTTAGTGTTAACACCAAAGAAGTTTATCACAATTCAAAAATATTGGTAATTTACTTGAAATTTGGTAACAATGTTTTTCTGTAAAGTAAGAACCAATAAGGAAAATCTATATTATTATGATTATTGCAGATTAAAAAAATAGAGACTCCACAGAAGCTAAATGTCTCTCTCCATTCAGAGGGAGAGCATGTAGATGAGTTGGAACATGAACTCAGGACATGTGGCATTAAAGCTGACTCCCTTTTATACTGGCACTGCCATAATGACCCCAAAATTGATAAGCGAGAAGGCTTTAAGTGTTAGATCCTGAAATGAATAAATAAGGATTCCCTCTATTTAGAGAAATTTAATAATTTATTTCCAAAAGATGTTACAGAAAGTCTAGTTAGAAATTTTAGATCAAGATAAACGTATGGTCTTAAATTGGAAACGATTTTTATAAAATAAATTTCAAACTGTGTTTATGCCTTATATGTTCTGATTTTGTATAGGATTTTATTCAAAACAAAACTTTACTGCAAAAACGGAAAGCTAAAAACCACTAAAGTACTATTTAAAAAATGATGTGAAAAACAAAAAGGGGTTATAATATATAAATTAGAATGTCACAAAAGAAAAAATAACTGAAGTATATTAAGATAAATGACTTTTTATCTTTAATAGTTAGATTAATTTTATACCAAATAAAATCTGATAAGCACTTTATCTTCTATACAATAATAAAAGGTCAAGCATATTTAGAATTAGAGGAATTTTATTTGTATGGAGCATAAAACTTGGCATAAAAATATCTTTAGTTTTTGGTTTTTAAAATTTTAATTATATTTTTATCAATTTAATATAGCATGAAGATTGTTACCTCACCATTGAAAGAAACTATAAACAGAGTAAGCACACAACTTACATAACGGGAGAAAATTTTTGCAGCTCTGCATCTGGCAAAGGTCTATTATCCAACATCGATGAGGAACTTAAACAAATTTAGAAGAAGAAAACAGTCTCATTAAAAGTGGGCAAAGGATATGAACAGACACTTTTCCAAAGAAGACCTACATGTGGCCAACAATGATAGAAAAAAAGCTCAACATCACTATCATTAGAGAAACGCAAATCAAAACCACATTGAGATACTATCTCACACAAGACAGAATTGTATTATTAAAAAGTAAACAAACAAACAAAAACAGCAAATGCTGGTAAAGTTGCAGTGAACATCTTTGTTTTTAAATAACAAATTATCAATCTTTGTAAAGACTTATAGGCTTTTAAAATATTTTTCATATCTTTCTTTAAACAGGCATTCAACCAAATGGCATATAACTTGGTGCAAAATCCAAAATGTTAATGATATAGTTTAACAAAGGTACTTGTAGTCTTTATTTAAGAATTTACAGGCCACAGATAATGAAGAGAGGACATAGGTCCCCCAGTCCTTTCATCAGCTTGCAGGACATGTGCTGTGGCCAAACATTCAATTGGCTCATACTCCACAGAAGAGACTGTACTGCTGTTCCTTCCATTTTTTAATTTATTTCTTTGTTAACTGACAAATTAAATTTTTATATACAGGTAGTATGCAACATGGTGTTTTGATATATGTAGACATTATGGAATGGCTACATCAAGCTAATTAACATATTCATTACCTCGAATACTGATCATATTTTCTGTAGTGAAATATTTAGAATCTATTCTCTTAGCAATTTTCAAACATATAGCAAACTGTTATTTATTATAGTCACTATGCTTGCAATAGACCTCCTGAACTTATTTCTCCTATCAAGTTTTGTGTCTTTTGATCAATATTAGGATGATTTCATATCTTTTTTTTTTTTTTTTTTTTTTTTGAGACTCAATCTCACTCTATTGCCCAGGCTGGAGGGCAGTGGTGTGATCTCGGCTCACTGCAATCTTCACCTCCCGGGCTCAAGCGATTCTCATGCCTCAGCCTCCCAAGTAGCTATGATTACAGGCATGCGCCACCACACCTGGCTAATTTTTGTATTTTTAGTAGAGATGGGGTTTCACCATTTTGGTCAGGCTGGTCTCGAACTCCCTACCTCAGGCAATCTGCCTGCCTCAGCCGCACAAAGTGCTGGGATTATAGGAGTGAGCCACTGCGCCCGGCCTGATTTCATATCTTGGCTATTGTCAATAATGTTGTAATAGACATGGAAGTGGAACTATCTCTTCAACACACTGATTTTATTTCTTTTGGATATATACCCAGAAGTGGAATGAACTAGACAAGGGCAAGACCCTAAAATGTAAAACTATGAGAGGAAAACATTCAGGAAAAACTCTTGGAAATTGGTCTGGGTAATGATTTTTTAGCTATTAGCCCAAAGCACAGGCAACAAAATCAAGATAAACAAATGGGATGGCATCACACTAAAAAGGTTCAGTGCAGCAAAGGAAACAATCAACAGAATGAAGGGACAACCCACAGAATGAGATAATATATTTGCCAACTATACATCTGATAAGGGGTTAATAGCCAAAATATATAAGAAGCTCAAATAACTCAACAGTGAGAAAACAAATAACCTGATGAAAAAATAGACAAAGAATCTGAAAAGAAATGTCCTAAAAGAAAACATACAAATGCCCAACAGGTATATAAAAAATGTTCAAAATTACTAATTATCAAAAAATGCAAATTAAAACCACAATGAGACACTACCTCACCCCTGTTAGGATGGCTATTGTCAAAATGACAAATGATAAGTTTGATAAGGATGTGGAAAAAGGGAACTCTTGTACACTGTTGATGGGAATATAGATTAGTACAGCCATTGTGAAAACAGTATAGAGGTTCCTCAAAAAATGAAAAATACAATTACCATATGTTTCTTCCATTTATGTTGAAGTGTAAATATATCTTGTTATTAGGAGGACTATTTAAGGGCCATGTAGTTTGGTTTATTTTTTTAACTTCTTTCAAATTTTATTTCAGAATCAGGGGGTACACGTGCCACACTGCCTCAAGCAACTTACATATTCAATACTGCTCCTATCAAACTACAAATGTCATTTTTCAAAGAAGTAAAGAACACTATTCTGAAACCCACTCAGAATCGAAAAGGAGCCTGAATAGCCAGAACAATCCTAAGCAAAAAAAACAAAGCTGAAGGCATCACATTCCCCAACTTGGGACTGTGCTACAAGGCTACAATAACCAAAATATCATGCTACTGGTAGAAAAACAGACACATACACCAACGGAACAGAATAAAGACACCCAGAAATAAAGCCACACACCTACAATCATCTGATTTTCAACAAAGCTAAGAAAAATAAGCAATGAGAAGATTCCTTATTCAACATATGGTACTGGGATAACTGGCTATCCATATGCAGAAGAATGAGTTTGGACCCCTACCAATCACAACACACAAAAGTTGACTCAAGATGGATTAAAGACATTAAGATCTCACAATATAAAAATCATAAAAGAAAATCCAGGAAATACCTTTTTTGATGTTAGCCTTGCAGTCTGGTTTAGATATGTATTATTGAAATAACTTCGTGTTTGTAGCATCTAGAGAGCTGGAACCTTTGATAAGTAGCAGCTACCTCTTACGGGAGCGAGAAAACCACTCTGGGCTCTGGGAAGATGAGTTCAATTGCAACTTCCTCCTGCTAGAAGAAAGAGAAAGTTCTGTTATCACCTAACATATTGTCTAGGAAATCCAGATTGCACAACTGGCGTCACTTCTGGACAAATATATTCATTAAGCAAAAAAACATTGGTTAGCCTAGTGAAAGATAAGTTCTGAAACATTACCTAAGTGTCCATAAATGCTTCCAGTTAATAAGACTTTCAGGCTTTTTCAGCTTATATGGGGAGGGAGCCTTTTTTCCTATTAGATTTACCATAATTGTTATAAAAGTGGAACAAAAGAAGTTGGGAAAAAAACTTGCATTTTTGCTGTACCATGGAACCAAATTAAAAAGAGATACATTTTGTTGGTTATTTTCCTTGTGATATGGAAGAGCTTCACTGCTTCCCTTTGGTCAAAATTTTTTCTCTACATTGAAGCACAAATTAAGCCTGAGCTTACAAATTCATTGTTCTAGTTTCTAGTTTCAAAATTGCTTTATGAAATATGTGAGGAAAAATGTGACTTCAATAAATCAATGCTTCTGAGTGTTTATAGTCCTAGAAATATTTAGGTAGACATTTTTCATTAATTTAATAAAAATGCAAGGATATTTACAAAATTATACTGATACAAGAACTTGTAAGTGTGTTTAAGAAAAAGTACATATGCTACAAGCATCTCAAAAAGATCAAAATTAGATTCAGAGAATGTATGTGAGAATTGTCCTTGGCTCAGGAATTGTGCATGTGATGATTTTACTTGAGCTGTAATATTTCTGATTTAAAATGAGTTTTAAGAAAATGTATAAAATTTGACAGGAAAAAGAAAAGTTAAAAATACATAGAAATATTTATATTTTACATATTATTATGGGATATTTTTAATATTTTAGCTTGAATAGAAGCAGGTAACAATGTAACTGTATACTGCAAAACATACAAAATTTCTTTAACAAATTTAATCTGTTAATTGAAGTAGTTTTCAATCTCTATAAACTAAAAAAGATAATAGTGTAGCATTTTTAATTCATTCTTTCTTGCTTAAAATGCCTATGGTTGTGGGTATAGTTACACATATACATCTCAGCGTGCTGGATAATAATTACCTAGTCTATTATCTTATTATTTTGGGAAATACTTGTAATGTACTGAGAAAATATAATGTGTCAATTTACAGTATCAATAAAGAAGCAGAATGCTGCCTTCTAAAAGCTCACAAAATGCACAAATGTCTTTTAGCAGTAAAATGCAATTAAGAAAAACTTTTATTATTATATCACAGCATTGTAAAATTTCATGAATGAGAATTGTCAGCACACTCTTTGGGAAACCTTGGAAGAATTAATGCCAGAATTTTCAATTTAACTGATTGTGTAATTGTTAACAGGAAATCTAAACAGTAAAATGTAATTATTAACAGGAAATCAAGAGTAAAATGAAATTGAGATGTTGTTGCTCCTTTAAGCTACCAAGTAAACCAATTAAAAGTATTTGTAACTTGACTCATTTATTATAAAATTAAAATTCTGTTTAAATTTTGATTTGACTAAAAAATAAGAAAGATTTCCGTGAGGGTAGAAGTCTATGTAACTATGAAATCTAATTAGATTAGAATTTTTAATATTTTACATATTTTTATTTTTAATATTTAAATAATAATGATCTTCTAGATATGCTAACCAAGTATGTTTACTTTGCAGGTTGCAAAAGGAAAGCCAGCCTGTAGTTTATCTATAACAGCTTAAAGAGTTACCAAGCCTTCCCTTAATCATTTTTGTTTTCATGATTTAACACCTGATTGTTTGATATTGGTAATTTTAAACAAATTTTTCACTTCCTCTAAAATATAAACCTGTCACAGTGCTCAAAATAAGTGCTAAATCTAGTTCACAGGAAATCTTCCATTTAGCAAGATAAAAAATGCACAGAAAATCATATTGTCTAACCTTGGCAATGTTTTATAATTTTATCATGGCTCTTCTGTATAAATTTCTAATATTGACTTATTAGACAGCTAATATGATAATATCTCCACTAGTAATAATCTCAGTAAAAATGACTCTTCCTAATTACCCCAAAAGATAGCAGGAGCAACAGCAACAGCAACAACAACAATATCCATGGAAAATAGAATTTCTTCAGACAAATTTCTAGGCTTTTCCTCACTATTTCTTCACCTGCTTAATTTTCTTGTTTGTCTTTTTGCTGCCCACCTCTACACCCCTACATTGGTTGTGTCTTTTTGCTGCTCAGGCTTTGTGTCTGCTTACCCAATGCCCATCTCATGCCCAACTCTGATGCCAATTGAAGTCTTCTGCATGTTCTCTGATTTTAATGGCAGCCACAACTTTAGGTAAGAAGGTCCCTGAGACAACAAAATCTTTCCCTGGAAGGCTAACCTCCATCTTCCCCAAAGAATGAGAATTTCTTCATATATGTAGAAGTTACTAATGTGTGCCAACATCTACTAAGTATGTAATTCTATTTTTGTTACAGGGGATTCAGTATAAGACCACAGAAAGTCCTCAAAGAGCTTAGGTTCCATCAGACTCTTCATGTAATAAATAAGTACACACATAACTATGTAATGCAAGTCAATGTTGTGAAACATATTGTGAAGAAACTTAAAGGAGAAAAAAGTGTCATCAGTAAGCAGTATTTTAAATAGCATGGTAGAATGGTCAACGAAGATCTACCCCGAGAGAGTATTTGAACACAACCTGAAAATGTGAGTGAGCAGACAATGGGAATGTTGGGAGAAGCATTATTTGTCAAGAGGTGCTACTCTAGAAGAGGCTGTAGTGATTAAAAAAATCATAATCTCAGGATTTTACCCCAAATATTTTTACTTAAATTCTTATGACATGTGTACATGATACAAGTTACTCTTCCAGGTTATGACAGAAGTTCAGGTTGTTTTTATCCTGTGGACTCAAAAAGACATTTGAGGTAGAAAAGAGCAACAGAGTAGGCACAGTTCACCTTTAATACTTCAGACCATAAATAGCACACATACTCTCTGCCCTTTGGCCAGAATAGTCACATGGTCCCAACCTAACTTCAAGGAAGGGCTTGGAAATACTGGTAATTGTCAGGAGGCATGAAAGTTTTCCATGCATTTCAGGCATATGGAGCCACAAGTATGGTAACTTCTTATGTTCCCCATTCATTAACTTTGGAAAATTATTTCTTGTATTAGAGAAAAGTGAGAATGGAGTCTTCATGACCATTTATCCTTATTTGCTTACTCATTCCTGCTGTCCCAGTGTTTATTCAAATTGAGATCAATATTTATCCTGGTTTAGATTTTGTCTTGGATTCTTTTTTCTTTCATTTTTTTTAACAGACTATTATGTGCAACTATGGAGTAAGTAGACCTCAACTTTGAACTTTCAGTTCATATTAATTCAAAATATGATTAAATAAGGGCTAATATCCAGAATCTACAATGAACTCAAACAAATTTACAAGAAAAAAACAAAAAACCCCATCAAAAAGTGGGTGAAGGACATGAACAGACACTTCTCAAAAGAAGACATTTATGCAGCCAAAAAACACATGAAAAAATGCTCACCATCACTGGCCATCAGAGAAATGCAAATCAAAACCACAATGAGATACCATCTCACACCAGTTAGAACGGCAATCATTAAAAAGTCAGGAAACAACAGGTGCTGGGGAGGATGTGGAGAAATAGGAACACTTTTACACTGTTGGTGGGACTGCAAACTAGTTCAACCATTGTGGAAGTCAGTGTGGTTATTCCTCAGGGATCTAGAACTAGAATACCATTTGACCCAGCCATCCCATTACTGGGTATATACCCAAAGGACTATAAATCATGCTGCTATAAAGACACATGCACACGTATGTTTATTGCGGCATTATTCACAATAGCAAAGACTTGGAACCAATCCAAATGTCCAACAATGATAGACTGGATTAAGAAAATGTGGCACATATACACCATGGAATACTATGCAGCCATAAAAAAGGATGAGTTCATGTCCTTTGTAGGGACATGGATGAAATTGGAAATCATCATTCTCAGTAACCTATCGCAAGGACAAAAAACCAAACACCGCATGTTCTCACTCATAGGTGGGAATTGAACAAGGAGAACACATGGACACAGGAAGGGGAACATCACACTCTGGGGACTGTTGTGGGGTGGGGGGAGGGGGGAGGGATAGCATTAGGAGATATACCTAATGCTACATGACGAGTTAATGGGTGCAGCACACCAGCATGGCACATGTATACATATGTAACTAACCTGCACATTGTGCACGTGTACCCTAAAACTTAAAGTATAATAATAATTTTTTTAAAAAGGGCAAAAAAATCTTATGGCACAGAAAAACAAACAAACAAAATATGATTATTTAAAAAATTCATTTATAACTCTTCTCTGACACCTTTTTACTTCCAGGAGAGTATATATAGGGCTGGATGATAAAATGGGATTTGCCTCAGATAAGAACAATTACGAAAAGCTAATTCCTTTTGGGTTTGGATGGTGATGACATAAGTATTTGATGCTGCTGTCAGCTGAGCCACTAGGCATACTAGACAGTTTTATAGACAGTCATAGGCCACCAAATTGGTGGAGCCAATTGGAAACATGGGAAGTTAGGCATATGTGAAAAAAATGCAGGAAGTGGAGGCTGATTATTCAAGCTATATGGCATATAGAAAGTTGTCTGAATCTGTCACATTGGTGTTGCAGTCATTTTTTGGTATAAAACTGCAACTACCCATGTTATGATTAGATAATGTCTTTCGGTTTTGCAATAGATCATCTAACAGGAATGAGCTCAAAAAATAAAGCATGTTTACCGGATATGGTGTCTCATGCCTGTAATCTCAGAACTTTGGGAGTCTGAGATGGGTGGATTGCTTGAGCCTAGGAGTCTGACACCAGACACAGGGAGGCACCTGTAATCCCAGCTACTCAGGAGATTGAGGTAGGAGAATCATTTGAGCCCAGGATATCAATGCTGCAGTGAGATGTCATTGCGCCATTGCATTCCAGCCTGGGCAACAGAATGAGACCTTGACTCAACCACACAAGAGCATGTTTAATGATTTTCTATTTTTAAGACAATGGTGATTACTGTGTAAGTTAGACAAAGTGTTTGTAGACATTTCACACCCAGAATAGGAACTATACTTATATTACTATCATAAGAAATCAGAAGACATATATTTTACATTAAAAAAAGCACAAATCAGAAAACACAACTCAACTGAAGAAACAACTGCATCTTCCATCATTATTTTAAAAACACTGGACCTAAAGATAACTATTTAATATGTGCATTAGCAAAGGGGCTGCTATATTAATGAATGAAGCATGGCTTTTCACTTAGATTAAATAATAGTTCTAATTAAGCTCATTTTTAATCCAAGTTTTGTGTTGCATTCAGACTGTTTGCCACAAGGTATAAACTACTGATATTCTTGATTCATTAACAAAGAGTTAAAAGATGGCAGTTTTAAAGGGATGTTGTTGGATGGTTCAAATAGGAAATTAGAGAATTCTAATAATCTTTCATTTTCTCATATAATTCACGGAATGAGAATAAAGTTTATAGGAATTCATTCTGTAATAATTGAAACATCTGAAATTAGTGAGACTGTTATAAATGTTCAATATTGAAGATAGTTATATTTTTGTTATTATAGCTAAAACATTTGATAGAGTAGAATGTCATGTTAAAAACAGTCTTCTTTCTAAACTATGAAACCTTTGGAACAGAAATATGCCAGAAACTGTTTACAGTGCAGACATAATTTAAAATTGCAACCAAAAGAAAGCAAAATTTACCCATCTAAATTCAAGCTATAATTGTCAAAATGTGCAAATATTGTTACACACACACAGGGTAATTAGATTTTTACAGTTTTTTTCTGTAAAACAGTTCATGTTGAAGATGCACACATGTCCTTCAGCAGCGGTATAACAGCTTCCTCCTTGATAAAAACCTATCCGTGATCAATTGGGGTTTTGAAATATTTAATTTTTTCAAGAACTATATTATACGTCAGGTTTTGTCTTTAAAATATACTAGATGTCCTAAATCATATCTCTCAATCTACTTCCATTATATTCAATATCCATTGGAAAATCTTAATAAAACAGTGCAGAATGACAGTACTCAAAACTTCAGTTTTGACACTTTTAAGAATTTTCAATAGTTTAAAACAAAGCTCACTCTAACACATAGGATCTTGTTGTCAAATCAGACTCATATGAATCAGAGATCTTATCCAGTGTCAAGGTTTAGCAAATAATTTTAAAGTTATGAAGGTCAAATTCTCAGAAAAAGTAGAGCGAGATCTGGAGAATTAAGGTTGACTGATTTAAACATTTAAAGAATTACACTGGCTACTGAGTTGAGAATAAAACATTAAGCAAAAAGATAGGGGCAGGGAGATTTAGGCTACTGCAGCAAGAGGTAAATATAGGTGACTCTGCACAGGACAGAAGAGATACATTTTCTTATCACTTGAACGTGAATCCTGTACCCTTCATGCTAAGTTCTACCTCTTGGAAGCAAGAGGCATGTTGCTTTCTAGTGTTTGAAATATTTTAGAATCTTTTGCTTATATTCCCCAGACAAAAGTCAATAATTTTGAAAAATAGACATACATTTTCACAAACAAAATATATAATTAACATAGCAAGAAATATATATATATGCCACATGCATATGTATTCACACAAACACACACACACACACACACACACACACAAATACACACAAAATGAAAAGTTTCCTTAAAGTTCTTTTAAAAGAAAATAAAAAACATGCGCATTAACTACAATGTCAAAAAAAAAACATAAAGTTTTCCTTAGTTATTTGTTCGGAAGGCATTGTCATACAGAAACATCATTATATTGTAAAGTTTTAATAGACAGATAAAACGCTTATGTAAATTTCCACTGAAGGAATTCAAGATATTTATAATATTTTACATACATATTTTAAAATGTAACAAGATTTTAAACATAATCGTATGTTTAAAAGGTTTCTTTCAATTCAAGGTTTCTAATCACTGATACAGGCTTCCTGTATTTGGTTTTCTGTGTACTTTTAACATTTTAATATACTTAAAATAACTTTAAGCGTATAATGGCTCTTAGAGAAAGGATAATCTAACAAAATTAACCAGACATGAGAACTTGTATTTGATGGTGACATTGTTTTTCTCAAGGACTTCCTCAGCAATCAGATGAGACTCCTGGATCAAAATTACGTTAACATTTGCTCCTTATTTAATAAAAATAAATAATTCAAAACAAAAGTTGAGTTTGATATATTACCATAATACATTTCATCATATTATTAATATTTAGGTTAAACATTCTCAGAGCAGTGACTTGATCTTTTAGAAAACTCCAATCCCACAGTTCCTGATCATGAAGGGCCCACAAAATGTGACTTCTCCATGGGATAGGCCTAAAATATACTGAAATGGAAATCTAAATTAGATACAGTTTCAGTCTTATTATGAAACTGTACTGCATAGTTACATTAATGAAATAAAACTATCCTTGGGTCTTAACAACCAAACATATTTACTTGGTTGTTTTATCATCAAGGATGAATTGATTACAATAAACAAATGAGGGAAAGTACCTGAAATTTAGCTGACTCTTCTCTAAATGTGTGGAAGATCAAATCCCTTATCAGGTTGCAGCACTTAGTGGGGACAAAAAAAAAAATAAGGTTTTCTTCTACTTTTACCCTAGTTAGTAGAGGTTAAAAAAGAGTCCATTTATTATTTGACTGTCAAGCGTGTAGGATGCAACAATAGTATTTTATTCATCCTTATGTTTCAGCAGCATTTATATATTGCCTTATCATGTCATGTGCATAATAAAAATGTATCAAAGTTCATCGGCTGGGTGCGGTAGCTCACGCCTGTAATCTCAGCACCTTGGGAGGCCGAGGCAGGTGGATCACCTGACATCAGAAGTTTGAGACCAGCCTGGCCAACATGGCGAAACCTTATCTCTACTAAAAATACAAAAAATTAGCTGGGCGTGGTGGCAGGCGCCTGTAATTCCAGCTACTTGAGTGACTGAGGCAGGAGAATCGCTTGAACCTGGGAGGCGGAGGTTGCAGTGAGCAGAGATTGCACCATTACACTCCAACCTGGGCAACAAGAGCAAAACTTCATCTCAAAAAAAATAAAAATAAAAATAAAAATATTAAAGTTTATCAGCACTAATGGGGTATTATAAGGTTCAATTAAATATAATATGAATAGCCCAAATGTGTGATGTAATGCATTAGCTTTCAACATTATTACTTTTGGAAACAACATGCTTTGTTTGTTTATCTCTTAAAAATGCTGTTTCCATTAACGCAAGGTGTTTACAACTATAAAATTCCCTATATAATTATGAACACACCTAAAAGGGGTTTTTAGTTCTGTTTATAACTTCATATATGTGCACAGCACAAAGGGAAATCAGAGGATTTAGAATCCATTTATTTGGCCTTGAATATTCTCAAGAGGTAATACTGACTTAGAGATTTTTTTCCTAAATTAGACCACCTTCATTTTTTCAAAGATTTGAGATATGATGGCTTTATTAACCAATAGTAATAAAATGTTGTCAGCTTCTATAAAGGAAATATAAAATGTCTGTGTGTGTGCATGTGTGTTTACAAAAGCTACAGCTGCATAAAAATAAGATAAGCCACACTAGATGCATAACTTCTGTTGCTACCATCATCATATGCACGTTTTGCTATTTTTCCCCTTTAAGGGCTATTCTCCTAGAATGGTATGCATTCAGTCACATAAAAATGAACACATTCATACTTTATCAATTAAGATTTTCGTGCTATATTTTTTCCTTCTATCCTTAATGAATTAATCATTGATTTAGAATTTTTTTCCTTGAAAAGTTTTAATTAAAAGTTTAAGATTATATTTTTGGTAAAATTTTGAATTATTTCTATAAGTATTTTAAACGTGTAAAGGCCACACACAGTTTAGTTACTATGGTGTGGAGAAATAGCTAAACTTTTTGGTACTCTTTGCTCAAAATTGAAATATCTAAAGTCACACCACCTACATGTTAATTATACAACTCATCTTCTTAGCATTTAAAATGTATCCAAATTAATTAATTTGATAAATAATTATAAAAGATAATTGAAAGCCTTTACTATGTGAAGTTTGCATCTAGAAATATTATTTTTATTGTTTACATCATGGTATGGTTCTATTGTAAATTAAGTACTCTGTTTTTATGTTAATAATATTTTATTCAGTAGGGCTTCATTTTACCTATTTTTTTTCCTTTGGTCTGCCTGTAATGTAAAGAAATGTAATATCTGTTCCTGTGAAAATTCATGTTTAAATATTGGCAACTTTCACTGGATTTTCTGCCAGCAACACTCAGGACTAACAAATCAATTTAGACTTAAATACTTAAAGTGCTCAGGCCTAAAAAAAAAAATGCAAGCAGTACAAAGATTTTCAATCTATGTTAATTTAAAATGACTCTTTCCTATGGAAATCCTCAGAGCTGTCATACCTTACCATGTCAGATTTGCTATACCGGTAACTTCCACTTACTTCGAGCTGCATAGATTTTTTTTTGTAAATATATAAATAACAATGATTTTCAGGGATTCCATTCTGTTTGCTTTAAAGGCAATTACAGACAGTAAGACAGTAATAAAAGGCCCACCAGAGTGCATTAGGCTTGTTTAATGTGATTTGGAAAATGATATCCAAAGAACAAACTCCTACCAGCCTACTGCAAAGTGATACGCCCTGATGTCCTATGATTACCCACAAGTAGAATCCTAAGAAAGTATAGAGCTTGCTTTTCACTCATGCCAAGTCTATCAAAAAATTCTACCTTCTGGGGTTGATTTATGGTAGCGTTGACTTAGTGGTAACTCTATTAGGTTGGTGTTTCTGAATGAATAAATTAGTTTTTGACTAAAAGGAAACAGTCAATTGATTATTAAAAAGCAGCAATTAGGCCGGGCGTGGTGGCTCACGCCTGCAATCCCAGCATTTTGGGAGTCCGAGGCAGGTGGATCACAAGGTCAAGAAATTGAGACCATCCTGGCCAACACGGTAAAACCCCGTCTCTACTAAAAATACAAAAATTAGCTGGGCATGGTGGCATGCGCCTGTAGTCCCAGCTACTTGGGAGGCTGAGGCAGTAGAATTGCTTGAACCCAGGAGACGGAGGTTGCAGTGAGCCAACACCGTGCCACTGCACTCCAGCCTAGCAACAGAGCAAGATTCCACCTCAAAAATAAATACATAAATATATAAATAAAAGATAAAAAAATAAAAGTGGCAACTAGCTGGTACCATTCTTGTTCCTCCTGGAGTTTGGGTTTTTAAGACAACAACTCTTTTAATTTTGCTGCCTAAGGAAATTTGTGCTACCTTTCTCTTCCTATGCATAAACATTCATAATACCAAATTATGGTATTATGAGAAAATTATGAGAAATGTAGACATTTCAAACTAATTTCCTATTATGTCCTTACAGCACCTTAAAAAGACCATCATTTTGTATTTGCTGTTGTTCTGTGACATTTTTCGCTGCAAACATTGTTGAAAAGCACTCAATAAATGTGATGTAAATTATATTAAGACAAAGGTAAACCAAAGTGTGTGCGTGTGTGTGTGTGTTTGTGTGGGTGGGTGTGGGTGTGGGTGTGTGTGTGTGTGAAAGCCTCTGTCCATGCTTCCAAATAAATAATAGATTGGATTGACTGGAAGTAAAGAGTTCTGAACAAACAGTCACCAATGTCTGACCTGAGAAACACAGGGATCTGTCTCAGACAAACTGACAGATTGTCTGAATTAAGAGAAGCATCTAAAAGTTTAGACAGGAGCATGAACCCTAAGTTTCTTTTCAGTTACAAGTGTCTACAACTGGAAGAATGGTTGAGAAAACACTATGGCATACCACCCTGTCATGGACTCTTCAATGAAATTGGAGCCATCCATTTGTGAAAATGATAGGAAGTAAAAAAAAATTTTTTAAAGTTCAGGTCACAACCAGTGGGTGGGTTATTCAAGGCTAAACCACATGTCTTTCATCATGCAGCAGGCTGGCATCAGGATTTTAGGAGAGCAAGCAGAAGTTCATGATGAACCCAGGCTCTCAAAGAGCACACAGCTTCTGCAGCATTCTGTTGGTTAAAGTAGATCAGGAGGCTAGCCCAGGAGAGGTAAAGATAAACCATATTAGGTGAGGCTGTGAAATCACATTGAAAAGACCATTACTAGAGTAAGAGGTAAAGAATAGAAATAAATTTCCATTAAATCAATTTAACATGTATGTCAGATGCTATATTTCAGTAGATTATTTACTCACTTTACTTTCCATATTTTATTGATTTCTTTTAGATTAAAAATTTTTCTTGGCAGAATTCAAGAAGGCAATTAAGGAGAGTCTTTGTGCAGTAAATTTTAAAAGGTTTGTTCTCCAGATACTCTTTTACCTAAGTTAAAATATTTTTAAAATATTTTTTAACATTTTGAAAATGTGTCCTTTGTTTTCTGTGATATGGCATCTCCGTTAAGTCTGTCTTCAATCTGAAATTTGTCCATTTGTGTTTGGTCTGCTCTTTTCCTCTGCATTTCACATTTTGTCTTTGTTTCTAATGTTCTCAGATTTCTGTTTACCACACTTAGTTGTGGGGATTTGTTTGTTGTTTTTTTCACATATTTATCTCTTCTTGACTCTCTGTGACAGATCAATCTGATAATTTACATCTTTAATTCTAGTTGTCATTCAGTCATTATTAATTTAAGGCTTCTATTTTCCATTTAATTTATTCCTCTCCACTTATAACTCGATTACACAGGTATTGAACACTCCTTCTAGGCTCCATGAATCTTACTTTTTCTCTCTTTGTTTTGTTTTGAGACAGAGTTTTACTCTGTTGCCCAAGCTGGAGTGAAGAGTGCAGTGGCACGAGCTCAGCCCACTGCAACCTCCACATCCCGGGTTCAAGTGATTCTCCTGCCTCAGCCTCGAGTAACTAGGATTTCAGGCACGTGACACCACACCTAGCTAATTTTTATATTTTTAGTTGAGTCTGGTTTTCACCGTGTTGGCCAGGCTGGTCTCGAATTCCTGACCTCAGATAACCCGCCTCGGCCTCCCAAAGTGTTGGGATTATAGGCGTGAGCCACCGCGCCCGGCAGGATCTTACTTTTTCTTTATGTTTCCCTTATCTTCATCAGTTTTTGGAGGCTTTTAAAATAAGACATTTGTTAATCTTTTAATATTCTAATTTACTCTGTTTTACCAGTTTATTGTTTAATTCAAACGTTGAATTCCATATTTCAACTTTCACATTTTTTATATCTGTTAAATCAAATTTAGCTTAAAGCTGCCTGCTTACATATTTTAAGTTTGGCCCAAAGGATTCTCTGTACATCATGAACTATAACAAGTGAAGGTGTAAAATAAACAGACCTTAGCATATACTTGTGCCAATCACTGAGTTCTGGCCAATCAAATGTAGCCAACTGTTAGAACTGTGTTCAAATAAGGCAAATGCCAAGCTGTAACCAATCCAGCTCTTTCTGCACCTCACTTCTGTTTTCTGTACATTACTTTCCTTTTTCTGTCTATAAGTCTTCAACCATGTGGTGAAGCTGGACTCTCTGAGCATACTGGGCTCAAGAGGCTGCCCAATTCACCAGTCGTTCACTACTCAATTAAACTCCTTTAAATTTAACTCAGCTGAAGTTTTTATCATATCCAATGTTTATAATTAATTATTATTATTTTTTTGAGACAGGGTCTTACTCTGTCTTCCAGACTGGAGTGCAGTGGCATGAACACTGCTCTCTGCAGCCTGAACTTCCTGGGCTCAAGCAATCCTCTTGCCTAATAATAGCTTTTTTTTTTTTTTTTTTGTCTTCGGTGAGTTAAGAGACTTTTGACCCATCAGCTAAGTATGGTGAAGCCCTTAAGGTGAGATAAACTTTCATGTTGTAGTATGAGTTCCTCCTCTTTGACCTCAGGAAACCCCCTGTACTTCACCCAGGCACTCACTGCCCTTTTCCAAGAATTACCTCCTCATGTTGAGCTCATATATCCTACAGTGGTGGAAATGGGTAAGCTGAACTGCACATGTTAAAATTCTTCTCAGCCCAGGGACATCTCATCTCTGTGTAATATTGCAGTGTCTTCAGAGTCAGAAACTTATATTGCTCTTATACTCGTGACAGTGAGTGGATAATAATGCCCCTAGGGCAATGCAAGTGAAACACAGGAGCACAGCTAGAAAGCCATCATGCTACCTGCTATACATTTGACTCCTGGTCTTTTGCCTCACTAGGCTGTCATTTACCCCACACATGTCAGGATCTTGCCATATTCTGTCTTCCTGAGCATTTTCCAAGTTTTAGTTATTGCTGTTGGCTGTGCATGTGTTATATAGCTATTAGTTGGCTCTGGAATCTATCATCATCCCTCTTATTTCCATCCCATCTCCAAGGGTTAGGGTTGTAAGGAGACAGCAGCTCTTTCTCTTATGACATTCTGCCTGAAGGCAACTTTTAAATGATTGTAATTGTGCCCTTTCCTTGAAACTAGATAGACTTTCTAACCAAAATTTAAATTCTCTTCTCCAGTCTTAGTACTTCACTTCCTATAAATGTCTGTAGTTTATAATGAAAATAGTATTTATTAGCTTTTCCAAAACTTGCTGAGCAGCAGCCCAACAGCATGGTCCAATTTCTCAAACTTTCATGTAGAAATATTATTAAGAATTTACATCCTTGAGCCTGGAATAGGGCACAGGGGTATGCATTTTTAAAAACTATGCTGGGTGATTTTCATTTACTTGGTCCATAGCCCATATTCTAAAGTAATTGCTAAAGGCAATTTCAACTCAGTGAGTAAAGCACAGTAGAAGCCAAAGGATATCTGTTAGGAACCTCCCATCCCCCTTCAAGGAAATAACCTAACTTCTTGAGAAATTGTATGACCCTTAGGCAAAAATGAATAACATTTTTCCAGCATACTACTTTACAAAGGAATTGCTTAGACATATTTATTCTAGCAATCTCACATATTACTGACTATCCATGTTAAATATACTAACAAAAACACTGCACCCCCTCAATGTCTATAATGCAGATTTCACAATTTTTCAAATATTTTATTTAAATTTGATGTGATATTTTCAGGAATATCAACATTCATGTCAGGTCAGTTTTTACTTTCTGGTTACAAATAGATTTTTTTCCTCTTGCTTAGCTCTAGAGTTAATATTTTACCCAAAGTGTAACAACATAGTACTTAAAATATAACAGATAAATTTCTAAATGCTGCCCAGATAGTCAATAATTCCCCCATTATGTCTAGGTTTTCTTCTTAACTCCACCAATTTATTTGGCTCAGAATCACTTTCTTTTATAATTTCAAGAAATTATGCCCTCATTTGTAATCATCACTATGATCACCGAGAATTGCACTAAAGATGTTCTAAGGTTGTGGAAAAGGGTTTTGTGAAAATTACCCAAGATACAAAAATTCATAAACCCAAATCGGATGTCTTACTTCCTTTAATTAATGTCAAAATGCAAGAGACAGCTAAGTTTTGTAAGTTACTAGGAATAATTTCAAAATAAGACTCTTGAAGTTTAATCTAGATTTCACGGATCCACTATTTATATGGATTGACTGTATTTAGGCTTCTAGGCTCACAAAGAGTATTAAGTGACTTTTTCTTAAATTGCTATTTAAATTAATGTTGCAATGTGGAAGGATTATTTCACCTAAAATAGACACACACGCGCACATGTGCACACACACACACATGCATGCACAAGATCACCACCCAAGATTTCAATAGTCTATTCGTCACCATTTCATGCATCCACTTTTTCTTTCCTTCACCAGCAGCTGTCAGCTTCACCAATAGCTATCAGAAAGATGCTTCTGCTTCTCAGAAGAAAATTTATCCTAGAACAAATCAATTTACTTTCCTTAAGCTTTGTGCAACAGGCCCTGGAGTTTCAGTTTCCTTTGCTCCCTGACCTAGAAAATGTTTCTTCTTCCAACCCCATTATCCTAGTACTTCCAACAATTATTTCTCCCTTTCCATGCTTCAAGCCTCCAGCCTACAAATTTTCTCCTTTCAAATGCTTATCTTTCCTTTTTTTCTAATTATAACACTATAATTAGATGTACACTAGCCATTGTAATTCTACCTGTCACAATTTTCATCGCTTAATTTCTATGTGATTCATTGTACAAAATTCTTCAGATGTTTAAATTTATCACCTAGACTGCCAATTCTTTTTAGACATGTTATATTTATTGCCTAACTCATCTGTTGAACTTTTGTCATTCAATTATAAATATGTATTTTTTTAATTCTCAAAAATCTACTTAGTGCTTGTTAAAATATCTTTGACAGCTTTGGATAATCCCTTGATTTGTCCTCACATTTTCAACTTTATATTCATGTATACACACTCAGTTAAAAATGAGTCATATATTTTGTATAAGTCTTTTTATATATTTACATTAGTATATTAAAACTCACATTTTAATTTTTTTCTTTATTTCTAATATCTGAAGCTTTTACAGGACTGATATGGAAAGATTGCACTTTGTGATTTTTGTGTGCATTGGAACATTGTTGATGAAAAATTTTAAGTCTTGAGTTCTATTTTTTTTGTCTGCAGAGAAATTGAATTTATTTTGCAAGTTGCCTAGGGATACTAACAACCCAGAGCCACTTTAATCAAAATCTCTCCCTGAAGGATTTTGTGCCATGCAGGGGTTCAGGCCATGAGTCCATGTGAGAGATGGTTGAGTTTCTCAGTGGAGACATTTTCCTTCTTTATTCAGAGCAAACGTCTGAGCAAATGGATTTCCTTACTGTCCGTTTTTGTTGAGTTGACCTTTATAGATTGCCTGTTCACTGAGTGTGTAGTCCTTTGATGTTCATGAGTTTATACAGGTATCTCTCTTCTGGCCGTCCTGGCACATTCCTGAGTTTGCTTCTAATTACCCAATATGCCATTAGATCTGCAGTTTGAGAAGACATGAATTTTCAGAACATTTAAGACAGCAAGTGTATTACGATTAATGTTTGTTTGGTTTGGCGATTTAAGGATTTTCCTTACTTTTTGTGAATCCAGTCATGAATTATGAGAAGGTTTTATTTTAGGTTTATTTAAATTTTAGAGTTCTGAGCTGTGCATTTTGAGGTATGTATTTTCTCCATGCTTACTTCCCAGAAATCAGTTTTTCTGATTCACAATACCCAGCTGCAACTCCATAGGACTTTATGAATAATATGATCTAATGATCTTTAGATTTTTATATTTCAACAATTTATGTTGAGGTAACTGGTGGCAATTATTTTCTCTCATCCATTTATTAATTAAAAGAACTTAGTAAAGTGGTTAGTATAAATTTGGTTCTCAGTACTGACGTTGAGTATGAATGACCCATTGAGATAAAACAATTTGAATATAATTCATTTCTTGACAATGCCTCCCTATGAAATAGAATTAGATTCTGATGACATCTAGACACATTTAGAGTATATATAACAAATCAAATATAAAAGAAAAAGTTTTTAACATATTGAAATCTTCTCTCAGATTAATATACAATTTTATCCTTTTGTTATTTAAATGTGTATATAAACAGATATGTGTATCTATATGCATGTATATATGCATATATATTTATATACAAATATGTATTTATATATGTATTTATGTATGTATATATACACACATATGCATTTATATTTAGGGTAAAAATTAACCTTGAATTGATTTACATAGAAAATAAACTGTAGCATTATGTATGTAAAGGTGACCTATTAAGCAGAGAGAATATAATTTAATATATTAAGAAAGTTCACTTTGATAATAATTTGCAGCTTTATTCAACAATTATTACAACAATACAAAATTTTATCTATTTTTATACAGGCTTTCTAGAAATTGGAAAGGAAAAATAAACATATTTAAATACAATCTAAGTCTGTGATCCTAGATTTTCTAATGCAATAATAACCAAATTCTAAAGGTCACTTTTTGTTTCATTTTTTAAGAAGGCACTAGGATAATCAAAAATTCATGGCACTTCGTTTATTACTAAAACACATATCTATGTTATGTTATAATTCAAATCATTTAAGAATCATCCTTAATGTTTTCCATGCATGAACTGATGACTGAGCTACATGTTCCTTTTCTTAAACAAATTATTTTGAAGAGTTCCCAATGCATATTAAAATGTAAACTAGCTTTTATAATCAACAATATAGCAATGTTAAATGATTAAGCTACATTAGAATTTAATAGAATACATTTTATTCTTTGAAAATATAACCCATCTTCAAGCTTTCTGTAAGCTACAAGATTTTTTAACGATATGGTACACATTATATTTACTTTATTTAGAGCAAAATCGGTGACTTTTTCATTTAAGTTAAAAATATAAGATAAATAAAGACATTGTGTGACAGATGTTTTTTCTGTAATATTTTATTTAAAACTTTATAGATCCTTATAATTTATAATTAATTTATAATGAAATAACAGTCATTCTGCCATGTTTTCTTAACTTGTGTAATGAAATTTAGGTAAAATTCTGCCCCTCAATATATGCATGTTACATTTCTTTTTGGATAATTATGCTAATAAAATCTTGTCCAACTTAGAAAATCCTTTACCAATATAAATTAAATTAAAAATTGAATTTTTTAAACAAATTTGGTAAGTTCTTCTGGAATACACTATTTATTGTATTACAACATGAAGTCTGAGGCAATAAAATTTAATGCAGGTGGTTGCTAATAATAACTATCATTTATTGAATATATATTGTGTGCTTAAATTAGTCCAGAGTAATATGCTGTGCACACAGAAATAAGTGTAACATACATTTTATAAATTATTTATCTATCCATCTAGTCTCATTTATGATTCAGAATAATCTATATGGTACAATTTTGAGATGAGGTAAATAAGGCAATGGGTAAGTGGCAGAACCAGGAATAAAATGCAAGCAAATGATACAGCAATAAAATAACATTCAACTTTAGAAAAGACCATCTGGATTTGACTTTTGACTTTTCCAGTTAAATTTATGACCTTGGACAAGTTATATAATATATATAAGCCTCAAATACCTTATCTTTCAATTGGAAATAGTAATAGTTACATGACATGATTTGGGTGTAGATATAAGAGATATTTGAAATTTAAGTTCTCTCAAATAGGGCTAGAAAAGGCTACATAATGTTATTTGGATATGTGAATATATGCATTGTAATTAAATATATTTTAATTAATAAAATAGTTTAGTAGTTAGCAATCACTTTAATTATAAAGAAATATGTCTTTTTGATTAAGATTTTTTTCCCATTTTTTTCAGGGAACCCTGAATAACAACATCAATATCATTTGAAATACATAGATGCACATACACAAATATGTATACATGTGTACTTTATTTCATTGAATAAAAACATTTTGAATAAGAATTGGTAATGTGCCGGCCTTCATTGCAAAAATGATAGGGACTTTATACTCTTCCTTCTAATACTCCCAATTTAAAGATGACAATTTAGTATTGATGTACTTTAAATCCATTCATAAGTTGATCATTGATCCTAAAATGGTATCATATTCACCTTTGAAATTTTATATTCTTCCTGTGTCATTTACACCGTATATACCATTTACAATGTGTTTTAGCATTTTGTTTCCCAAACAACATCAGGCCTCTTTTTTCGTGATTAGGTGTTATTTAATACCTTTCTCTCTCTTATTACAGAACATCTGAGAAGAAAACAGCAACTAAATGGTTGCCCACATGGAGTTTCAAGTGAAAAAAGACACTACATTTTAATTCTTTTTGCATTTGCCTTTTGACCTAGGCATGCAATTCTTCCAGATAGCTGTTCTCAGCCACAGTAATGTTACAGGATCTCTGGGTGTCAATTTTTTTTTTTTTTTTTGGCAGGAAACCTCTGTGGCTGCAGCACCTTTGGCTGAGTTCTTGTCCTGCATCCAGGAAGAATGAGGTAGGCAGACAAGTGAAGGATGAAGAAGAGAAGAGTTTTGTTTAGTGATAGAATAGCTCAGAGGAGATACCACTTAGAGTGGGTAGCTCCTCTGTGTAGGAAGGTCATCTTGTGGAGTGTTCAGCTCTCAGCAGAAAGGAGGCCCTGGAGAGAGTGGCTCCTCTCTCTGCAGCCAGGTTATTCGGACATCTCTGCAGATCTTTGAAACTCTCAGCAAAGAGAGTAGCTGGTCTCTGCAGGTCTCTGAAGCTCTCAGCAGAGATGGTAGCTCCTCTCTGTGGGAAGGTCGGCTCTGTAGGTCTTAGCAGAGAATAGCTCTCAGTAGAGAGGATACTCCTCTCTGCAGCTTGTCATCCCATTGTCTCTCTGCCCTCTTCTCCTCTGGCCATCTTCTGTCCTGCTCTGGCTGAGCCCAGGGCTTTTATGAACCTCAGAGGGAAGGACGTGCGTGATAATTGGTCCATGGGCAGCCATGGGCAGCCAAGAAGAGGCACCATGAGTCCCCACTCCACTTCAAAGGCCTGAAGGTGGGGCCTTTACTGGGGACCCACCCCTTTCTGCCCAGAACTTTGCCTCCTGCTGCCATCCATGGCCCCAGGGCTTATCCCCAACCCTGTGCCAAGATGGGAGCAGGTACCCAGAGCAAAGAGAGGCCAGGCAGTGGGAGCAGACACCCTCTAGCCTGCAGGGACAGGGTTGCGGTGTGTGTGTGTTTTGGGTGGGGGGGGGGGTCCTTCCTGAGGCCCCCGAGAGTGCAGGCTGCAGAGATGCCTGGAACCTGCTCCTAAGGGGGTGGCTGCAGTGCCTAGGAGGGCGGCCGCAGCCACACCCAGGAAGGCAGATCCTGCTTGCTCCCAGTCCTCCCCCAAGGGCACAGGGGTGCTGGGATCCACAACTGCACTTTGGGACGCTGTAGCCCCGCCCAGGAGGGCAGGGCTCCTGCCTTCTCCATAGAGCAGGAGGCCTGGGTCTGCAGCTTTGGTTTGGGCACAGGGAGATCCTGTCCTAACTCAGAAGGGGCAGGGCTCCCACCTGCTCCATGGAGTGTGTAGCCCCAGCCGCACTTCCCTGCTGATGCCGGCATGATGGCAGCAGCCCCTGCCATCAATAACTAGAATGCTGGTTCAAAACAGGTTATCAAAGAATAAGAAGCTGCTGCAAACACACTTATCAGCCATGCAGAGTAAAGTTGTGATCAATAAAATAATATTTGAAATCCTAGACCTACAGCATTTTTTGACTATTTACCTTTTCACCTCTCAACAGAATGTTATAATAATAAATTTTATAATCAGGGCAGGAAACATGGCAAAGTTACTAAATAATTGCACACAAAAAGGTTTTTAGCCATTAATTGCAAGCAACAGATTGGCAGTAATCTGAAAAATTCCTCCTCCTCATTCATTTCAAGATATCAGCCACTACAACCCTATTAACCGCCATATTCTGAAATAGCTAAATTTTGGCTTTGAATACTAAAAATTAATTTTTTTCTTCTTCCAATATTCAGTTACCAAAAGCAAATTAATGCAAGTATATTATCATATATAAATACACAATTATTTTTGGAACACTTTTCCTTTCCCTTCTTCCTATGTTCCCTTTTACTCAGATTTATCTTCACTTGGTACCTGTACACATCTTTATATCAGCACTTTTAATGGCTTATTTTGTTTGACTCTTGGTAGTATTAAAGACTGCTCCCTTGCCTTTCTTTTATTTGTAAGAAGGAGACATTTCTCTGAGTTGCTAGATTTAAGGACATTTTATTGGCTACAGTTGGTGAACTGAGCTTTAAAATTGCATAGATAAATGGTGATAGTCCTTGTGACTCGTGTCTCTTTCTCTTTTTCTCATTCCTCCACACCCCACCTGCCACTTTCATAAGAAATGGTTCTTGCTTAAAAGCAGTCAGAAGAGAGCATTGGTTGCTTGATTCCTCAAAGAGGAGGAGGAGCCACTATTTTCTCCTGTCTGTCACTTATTGGATCCTTTTTCTCCTAGAAGCATAAATAGAACTAATCTAAAAGGTCTTCCCTTGTGGGAGAGCTGAGACCTCTCCCTATTTCTTTGATTTCTCCTCTCTCTTCTCTACTGAACATTTGGGACTAAGCTTTATTTGCCCGTCATGGCTAGTCAGCTCTACACATTCTTGACAATAGTTTCTTGTTTTTTTCCTCTTATTTCTTCTCCTTTAGCATAGATCATTTTTCATAACGGAATAATAAAAGTCAGAACTTTGCCTTTGCCTTGGGAAAATAAACTATAAAACAAAACCTTGCTACAGTTCTACACATGGACTTGAGTAAAACCTAATTTATTAATAAAGTGTGTTTTTAAAGTTTGATTTGCTAGCCCTCAGCCCAAGCATATATTGACTCTCAGACTTCTTAAATTCTCTCAAGTCAAATTTTAGTATAACTGGTCAAAATACTAATTTATTTTACTAGAATCTCTTATAGAATTTGAATATATAACTAGAGTAACCAAGTGGACCTTCTAAATTAGCCATGGGAGGTGGGGATTGGGGGAGGAAATGTGAAGAAGGGTACTTGAAGCCAAGACAGGCAAGTGACCTGATCCTTTGTCATGCCCTCTCAAAAAGACTACGGATTCCTTATGACAGACTATACATCAATCACTTTTCCTTATCTTAATCAATCCATCATGGTAACTAGTGTATAATGGATGCCAAATAAATTAATAAATGGATGTGTCAACATACATCTAACTTAAGAATTTATGCATAGATATATGACCTATAAGACCAGACTGGAAGTGGTGACCACTTACCTTTCAGGTCTCAGTCCTCAATTTCTACTGTTCTCATCATTATTCACTGCTTTTTACCCACATTAGCCTCCCAGAAAAAAAATTCCTGTTTTCTGCTAGAATCTTTACACTCCCTATGTCCTCTGCTTGCAATGCATTGTCCCCAAATTTTTACATCCTGATACTTTCTCAATATTTACGCCTCAGCTAAAATATCACTTCATTAAAGAGGCCTTCCCTCATCAGCCTGTCTACAATAGCAACCCCTTGCCAACACCCTGTTGCTCTAGTTAACCTATTACTTAGTTCTATTTTTTCATCTCATTTATCAGTAACTAAACATTATTTTAGTTAAATATTCGATTATTACTTCACTAGGGAAGAGACGTTTTCTTTTTTATCCAAACATTACTTTGGATAATGCCTTACATACAGAAGATATGCAATAAACAATTCTTGATGTCTTGAGTGAATAAATGTGTGTGTGTGTGTGTACATGTGTACGTGTGTACGTATGTGGGCAATGGTATGCTGACAGGTGTTTAAGAACTGGCTCCCTGGGAAATAAAAGGTCCTGTTTTATAGCACTTGCTAATTTCCATGGGGTACTACTTTTACTATTCAAGCTACCAATGTGACATTGCAGAACTTAGAGTTGGGAAGATTTGCACACAATTATTCCTTTTGATTCAGTGCAAGTTGACTTGAGCTATCTCCAGCACATTAAATCTATGTTTCATCCATCAAATAGATGTTCATTAACAGACATTAGGATGTGTAGCTTTTAAATGCTTCTAAAATCTAGCCCCAACCTATATTTTTCAGTCTGTTTGCTGTCAATTTACTGGATCAGCTGATTACATGTGCTCAATTGATTGTTAATTTGCCATTTGCATGTCCCTTCCTCATCTGCCTAGCAAATGTCTAACAGTGTAAGACAAACTCGAGTAATTTGCATTTTATAGTTTCCACCAAATTAACATGTCTTTTTCTAAATAGTTAAATAACTATTTAATTTATCTATGTTTTGCAGGTAGTAGAATGCCCAATATGTAAGGGAATTTAAAAATATTTCCTTAATTTATTGGCCCTTAATATTTTAGTGGTTTCCAAATGAAATGAAAATTTAACTCTTAAAAAGAAATGAAACCAATACATGCTTTCTTCTCCATAAGAAAGCATAACTTTTTATAATCTTCTGTTTTTCTAGTGAATAGTAAATTTTTAATGCACAGCTCCACAGCAAGTTGAAGAGATAAGTAAGTCTTCCCTTAAGAGTTAGAGGTGGTAGCTCATTAGCAAAACATAAAGGAAGATGAAGTGAAAGAAGTATCTACACTCCTACTCTTGCTGTGCTTCCATTTAAACCACTCAGCAAGGTATATGCCAAAAAATTTTAAAATTCAACCTTTGAAAAATGGTTGGTCACAATCACCATATGTATTATGAAGAGTTAGTTATGAAATATGATTCATAGTTTTATTTAAAAATGAACCTCCATCCTTAAAAATATCACAGCCCACTTACCAGGATTCTTAGTGTATAGTTCTGTAACCAAAGCTGAAGTTAACAGCAAAGAATAATCTTTGTTTCCACTCAAATTTTGTAGATAGTAATACATGTATTCTAGAGCAGGATTCCATTATTCTTAGGTCAGTTACCCAAATATCACAATAACATCTAAATAAACAATATCATCATTTCTGAAGAAAAAAAAACATCTCACATGAGCTTGAAGAGAACTGAAAATTAATGCTTGTGAAAGGCCATCGAAAGGAACTCATTAATTTACTTAGTAAGATCTTTGTGGGAAATACAAACAAAATATTTTATTAATCAATGTTAACTTACACTAAAAGAAGGATGGGTAGCTGTCTATGTGATGAAAGATTAGCAAAAAACCCTCCACTATATAAAGAATTTTAAAGGTATATGATTATTTACAAGAACTATGTTTTCTTATGTTCTCTGAATCTGTGAATTTTTTTGTTGTTATATAACAGATGACTACAAATTTAGCAGCTTAAAACAACACATATTTATTATCTCACAGTTTCTGTAGTAAGAATTATAGTCAAGGTTTAGGTAAGTCTTTTTTTTCAACTGTCTTAAGAACTCTTACCATGAGATCTACTTTTTAAGTATAAATTGTAGCATTGTTATCTATAAGCATTATGATGGACAGCAGATCTCTAGAACTTACTCATCTTTCATTAATGAAATTTTATACCCCATCAACAACTCCTCATTTCCCTCACCCTCCAGTCCCTGGCAGCCACAATTCTATTGCTTGTTTCTATGAATTTGACTATTTTTAGGTATGTTTTCCACTCACACAAGGCTAAAATCAAGGGGTTGGTCAGATCGTGTTCTTCTTTGAAGGCTATACTGGAGAAGAATCCACTTCCAAGTTCACTCCTTTGACAGAATTCATTTCCTTAAAGCTGTATGACAGAAGGTCTGCCTTCTTACTGACTGTTGTCTGGAGGCCACCCTGAGGGCCTAAACACCTCCTGCAGTTACACTTCCCTGCCATGTAGCTCTCTTCTTAGGTAGTTTACAAGATGGCAGTTTGCATTTTCAAGGCTAGCAGAAGAGTATCTCTAATGCATTTTGTACCTAACAGCATTATCTATGCCTTTTAGTGTAATAAAATCAAGAAGATTTAATTCAATCACTTTTGCTACATTCTATTGCCTAGAAGTAAATTACAGAACTACCTATACTCAAAAATAGGGAATTATATAAGAAGTCACTCACTGAGGGTCACCTTGTTGTGCTGGTGCCATACCCTCATAATATTACAACAGCCTATTTCCTGTAACTTGGAAAGAAGTGAATACAGAATGTTGGTAGAAGGAAACCAGATATTCTGTCATAAAAATATTTTCATAGTACATTAGCTCTAAACTATCTCAATCTCCCTCAACCATTTCACAAAAAAAATAAAAAATAAAAATAAAAAGTAAATTGTCATCAAATTTTAAAGATATTTTGTTTTGTTCCATGAAGGCTAATATACTAGAGATATTCTGTGACATTCTGTTTACTGGAAAAATAAAAGCAAAGTCTTATTTACAAATTAAATTATTGAGAAAAATGAAGGTCTGAATGTTTACTATTTTCTATACTTAAATAGTACCCATTATTACTTGCCCACAAAATTAGGTCATCAATAAAATACAATGAGTTATTTGACAATGAAAAATATCAGGAGTTTGTGGCTTATGCAGGTATTTAATAGCATAATTTTAGAATGCTATGTTTTCCCATATATTATTAATTTGTAACTGGCATCACTTTATTTCACCACGCTAAGTTCAACAAAATCTATCAGGCACCATACGCACTTGCTTTGGCATTCTTTATTTAAAAATTATTTCTTCCTTCTTCTGCCCTTTCACTCCAGTACTTTGTGTTCCCTGAGTATTTTCACTCTTACTATTTTAGTGTAGTGGTGGCATGCATTAGCAATTTTCTTGAATAAAGCAGGGCACACCATGAGTTTCAGCATTTGTACTAACTGCTTGCTTTAGTTGGTGTTTATTTCTCTTTCAGTACTCATGTGAGGTACAGAGGTGAGAAAAAGAGCAGAAAAAATGATAGCATTTTTCTTCAACTAATAACAGGTAGTAGAGATTCAAGATAGTTGAAACAGACAGACACAATAAAGCAATTAAATTTTTATTTCCTTTTAAAGTTTAGCTTCTGGCACTCAACTAATACAAATTCACACATAGATGAGGTAGAATAGAGGCTGGGATAAAGAAGATTGAGAAACCTTGACAACAATAAAAAAAAATCTAATTTGATTTTTATTTGACTTTCAACCAAGAGACCAAGTGTTGAAATCAAAACAAACCCTAAGGCTTGTACATGCAGTATCTAATGTACTCAACAAAGCAGCAACTTGCAGTATTATATGAGTAAACAGCTTTTTGCCTGATGTAGAAAATAAAGTAAAAACTCTAAATAAATTCTGTCCAAATTTGAATTACAAATTTTGATAGTCTAGAAAGAAAAAGAAACAAAATAAAAACTTAAACTAATAATAAGATAGGCAAAAATACAAAGCTACTTTTGTTTGTGAAGGTAAATCCTAAATGCACTAAGATTTATGTATAGGTTTTTACTTATCAATAAATTGTATGAACTGGAAGAATGCCTTTTAAAAATTAACTGTTTAAATGGAGTTACATGAAACCATTTTTAGATAATAATTGATGATAAAAATGTCATTATCTGACTTATTTCATAATATAGGCAAATATGCAATATTTCACAGTATTTTTCATTAATATTCTCACAATAGTAATAAAAAATCATGAGGCCTGTTATAATTCACATAAATCCAAAATGGTTATCACTATGATCATCATATAGAGTTTCCATCTATGCTGTTTGGATTTTTATTTGTGAAGACTATTTAAACATATATTTTTTGATCTGTGAAATTAAAAGAAAATTGATTTAAAGTGAATGCATATTAACTTGTTTGATAAAGTTAATTTTACAAAGTTTAGGATATTAAATAAACAAAAAAATAAAGTTCAACAACTGCTAAGTGCAAAACAATATATTTGGGAAAAATAGACAAGCCAGAAAAATTGACAAGGTGCAATTAACAATTCAAATTTAATGTATTTACAACTGAATTTATGATCTACTCCTCTAAATGCAATCCTCTCCCCAAAGCTTTCAATCCCAGTAAATGACATTTTCATTTTTCAGGAGTAGAAATCCGGGCGTCATTATTTACACCTCAGTCTCACACTCTGTTCACACCCAGTCTGTCACCGAGTCCTGCTATTTTCTTTTATTCTGCTTGTATCTCAAGCAGGCCTTCTTTTTCTCATTGTTACTACTATCACCTTACCCCAAGCTGCCTTCATTTCCCATCTCTTCTACTTCACTAACGTGACAAAACCTCTTTAAACATCTACTCCCACTTTCCTCAGACTTTCCTTTTTTTTTTTTTTTTATTTGAGACGGAGTCTCTCTCTGTCGCCCAGGCTGGAGTGCAGTGGCGCAAACTCGGCTCTCTGCAAATTCCGCTTTCCAGGTTCACGTCATTCTCCTGCCTCAGCCTCCTGAGTAGCTGGGACTACAGGCGCCCGCCATCATGCTCGGCTAAGAGTGTGTGTGTGTGTGTGTGTGTGTGTGTGTGTGTGTGTGTGTGTGTGTGTGTGTTTTAGTAGAGACAGGGCTCGGCTAAGAGTGTGTGTGTGTGTGTGTGTGTGTGTGTGTGTGTGTTTTAGTAGAGACAGGGTTTCACTGTGTTGGCCAGGATGGTCTCGATCTCCTGACCTCATGATCCGCCCACCTCGGCCTCCTCACTGTGTTGGCCAGGATGGTCTCGATCTCCTGACCTCATGATCCGCCCACCTCGGCCTCCCAAAATGCTGGGATAACAGGCGTGAGCCACTGCACCCAGCCAGACTTTCCTTTTTAAAATAACCAGAGTGCTTTTGAAAAATACAAATGGAATCACATTATTCTTGGATTTAAAAGCCTACAAATGGCTGTTTTTTTAAAATCAACTAAAGATTATGTTTGTGATTTTAAATACAACTGACAGATTTCAACATGCTCTTGTCCTGGAATATCCCCAGCCTTTTCAAGCCAAGTCCTTTTTGTTCACACTGCTTCTGTCACACCATTATTGCCACACATATCTTACTATCTAGGACCTTCTCTCTTCCCAGTGTTTTCACTTGACATATTCTTACTCATCTTCTGGTATTTGATCAAATGTAACTTTATTCTTTAACCTATTATAAATTGTTCCCTGTTATGTCCTTGCATATCACATGGTTCTAATTACATTTCATTATATCATTTTTATTTTAGTATTTTTGTGTGATTGTTAGCTTACTGTTATTATCTTCCACCAGCTTTTAAGGAAAATAAACCCTGAAAGTTTATTTTGTTCCTTGCCATATCCTCAGTATCTGGCACTGGTTTAGTTTAAAGTAAGCAATGAAAATTTTTGGATAAACTAGTAAGGGGCTAAACATTAGTGTGTGTTATAAAGATATAATATTCAAATAAATTTTGCTATTCTCTAGAACAGTAAATTTTGAAAAAAAAATAGAACTATGGGAATGTAAAGTTGTAATAAATTTTTAAGTCACCTAGGTCATCTTTCTTTTCATACCACCCACACCTCAGAGATGATTAGTGTGGGAAAGAGAGTTTCTGGGATACCAGATGAGTTAGTCTCCCCTGTGTGAGACACCCATGGGGAGCCATGGGCGGCCTGTGAGGAGAAAAGTCTCCTTATTGCCTTCATGTCTTTATGCCCAGAGAACATAACCACTCCACGGCATTCCACAGGTTGCTCAGGGAGATAACACTCCCTTGAAGCAGTAGAGTATAATCAAACATCTTGGCTCCTCCTGAAACCCATTCCCACCCATTTCAGTCCCCATAAGTTAAAGATCTTAAGTAGTTTAGACACACACCTTTGCTTGAGGAAATTCACAGAAACCACCACTGCTATACCACTTCTTGAATGACTCACAAGTTCTCCTTCAGAGATTAATCCTTTTCCTCATCCCTTCTTACCCCTCCCATCTGCCCTAAGAACGAAGAGTTTGTAAACCAATAAATTAGGTGGAGCTGAAGAGCTCTGGGCCCTGAGCAAGCCTCCTACGCTCCGGACTCCTGGATCAGCCTTTTAAACACTTATTCTGTCTCTTTCTAACTCCTTTGTCTCTGCCGGACTCGGGGTACCGGCCGGGTGGTGTGAGGCTGGTTTCCCCAACAATTAGAGGTTTATTAGATATCATACAACTAATTAAAGACAAGGCAAGGAGAAAAAAATGAAGTCTTGTGTTTTCCAGTCCAGTATTGTGCACTGGTACTTTGTATATTACCATGATTGTGTACATTTCTTTAGCCTCCCCTCCACCTTTTTTTTAAATAATGTGGGTATCACTTTTGTATCTACAGCTCTTTACAGTTAATTATTTTTTCCTGTGGGAAACTAGTCTTTGATTTCCAAAATACCTTCAAGTCTCATTTTTCTACATCTCTGACCAATCTGCTTTTTTTTTTTGCTTGCTTGCTTTTAAAAAACAATTTATTGCAGTATTATTAACATGTAAAAAGCCTGATAATGTATGCAACTCAATGTGTTTGAGGATAAACCTATGAAACCATCACCGTCATCAGGCTATTAACACATCTATCACCTCCCAGTTTCCTCACACCCCTATTAATACCTGAATGTTTGTACCCTTTGACCATCATCTCCCCATTTCCCCCTTTTAGCAGCCTCTGGTAACCACCATTCTACTCTATGCTTCCCTGTGTTTGAGTATTTTAGAATCTACATATAAATTAAACCATATAGTATTTGTCTTTCTGTGTCTGGTTTATTCCCCCAGATGGATCTGAAGAACATTATACTTGCTTTTTAAATGTGGCTTTTACTCAACATTCTGTTCTTATTATCCCACATATTTCATATTCTGTAACATTTTGTCACGGGATCCTTGGGGTGTTGCTTTGCCATCCTGAAACATCTGTGGCTGGTGGTGCCTTTGCTCAAGTTTTGCACAGGCCCACTGGACTCATTCTGTCCACACAGCCTGGCAAGCTGCACTCAGCTTGCACTAGCAGCCTGGATCCCACAGCTGCCAAGGGTGAACCAGGTACAGAGTGGCGAGGAGTTCATGAGCAAGTGAACACAGGGTCCAGCCACTGCACACGGGCTGCATCAGGGAGGGCAGCTCTAGTGCCAGCATGCATGTTGGCTCCCTGCAAAGCTACATCTGGACCAGTTGTACTACAAGTGGTTCCACTGCTGGCACCAGGGAATATGGGGGTGCCTGGAAGCTTAAAGACACTGGGAACTGCAGAATCCCAAAGTGGGTGTCACGGCCCTGGCTTGGGGATCTCCTAGGTCTGGGCTTCTCAAAGGGCTGCATCTCTTCTCTCTTTCTCTCTTTTCTCCTTTTGTCACCCACAATGTGGCAAGCAAGGGGCATGTTTCAGTGCCGTTTGTGTTACAGCTCTTTTAGCCGTGGCCTTCAGTAGGTCCCAAGTTTGTCCCAGGAAAAATGAGGTATGTGGAAGACTGGAGGATGAGCAAAGTGAAGAGGTGCTTTATTGAGCAACAGTAAAGCTCTCAGAAGACCCAAAGTGGGTAGCTCCTTTCTGCAGGCAGGTCATCCCAAAGAGTTCAGCTCTCAGAAGAGAGGAAACCTGGAATGGGTAGCTCCTTTCTGCAGGCAGGTCACCCCATCATCTGTGCAGCCCTCTGCAGAGGGGAGACCTGAAGTGGGTAGCAGCTCCTATCTACAGAAAAGACATCCCATCATCTGCCCAAGTCTGGCTGAGTCCAGGGTTTTTATGGGCTTTAGATGGGTGGAAGTGCATGCAGATTGGTCCATGGACAGCCGTGGGCAAGCCTGGAAAAAGCAGCATAAGTTCTCACTCAGGTCTGAGGAACTTGCAGCCTGGCCCCAGGCTTCAGGTCATCCCTGGCTTGAAGTTGGGGCTTCACTGGGGATGCACCCCTTTTCTGTCCAGGAGCCTGTCTACCTCCTGCTCCCATCATCCTGCCATCTACAGTGACCATGGTGCCAAGGCTATTCATTCCAAGGGGCACCTGCAGGCCCGTGCTGAGCTGTACTCTGTCCCCCTCAGACTTTCTCCTGTGCTTGTTGGTGCTGAAAGCCCTGATGGGGCCGAGGCAGTAGGGGTCTGGCATGTCAGCACTGCTCCAAATGCTCGCATACCTGGTTGGGTCACATAAGCACCCGGGCTCAGCTTTAACTTTGCTCTGAAATTGAAGTGCACCAGAAGCGAGGAGAGTCCAGGCAGCAGGAGGAAGCACTTTTGAGTCTGTGAGAGGAGGGGACTTCCCAGGCCCCCAAGAGCGCAGGGATGTGTGGGTTTGCAGATGCACCTGAGAGGGTGAGGCTTTCATCCTGATAACTTGGAAGAGGGCAAGGCTTCCACCTGTGCCTGGTTCCCACTGGCTTTATGGAGTCCATTTTTCATAATTCTCTGTGAACTTTATCACTTAAATATTTCTAGATCTTCCCCTTGCTCTCTATTACCACTGCCACTACCATTCTCTGTTGCTGCATATTGCTCAGCTGGATTATTGCATCAATTGGTGAAACTGTTGCTAATTATGTCCCCCTTAAACCACATTTCATGTTACATACATTCATTTTTAAACTAAACATTTATTAGGATGGATTTTTTTTTCTTTTTAATGATCATTATGAAACAACACGGATGAACCTTGAGAACATTAGGCTAAGTGAAAAAGCCAGTCATACAAGGACAGCTATTACATGGTTCTATTTATATGAGGTATCTAAAAAAGTGAAACTCACAGTAGCAAAGAATAGAATAATGGTTGCCGGGGGATAAAGCAAGGTGAAAGAGGGAGTGGCTAATCAACATGTATAAAATTTCAATTATGCAAGATAAGTACTAGATATCTGATGTATAACCTAGTGCCTATCAGATAACAATACGATTTCACTCTTAAAAATCTGTTAAGAGTGTAGGTCTCATGTTACGTCACCTTCTCACAGTAATTTTTTTTTTTTTTGAGACGGAGTCTCACTCTGTGGCCCAGGCTGGAGTGCAGTGGTGCTATCTCAACTCACTGCAAGCTCCGCCTCCCCAGTTCATGCCATTCTCCTGCCTCAGACTCCCGAGTAGCTGGGACTACAGGTGCCTGCCATCACACCCGGCTAATTTTTTTTTTTTTTTTTGTATTTTTAGTAGAGAATGGGTTTGCACCGTGTTAGCCAGGATGGTCTCCATCTCCTGACCTCATGATCCGCCTGCCTCAGCCTCCCAAAGTGGTGGGATTACAGGCGTGAGACACCGCACCCAGCCTTCTCACAGTATTTTTTTTAAGTTTGTGATGGACTTTTCTTGAATTAAACGTTTTATCAGTAAATATTCGCTTGTCTTTTCATAAAATTCAAACATCTTTCTATTCCTCAATATTTTGGGTCACAAGTAAAAAAAAAATTCAAATGAGATTGAGTGAAGAAAAAGAATGTATTAGTTCATATAATCTAAGGAAGGAGTCAACCACAGGAAAGACAAAGATAACTGTATACATCATATATAACTGAACAGAATATGGGGACTCAAATACCACTGAGATATTCTCTCCTTTGTTCTCTAAGTTTCTCTAAACATTAGCATGATTCTCTCTCACATTGTACTCACTCTTTCAAAAAGAAAGGAGAGCAATTACCACCAAGGCAAAGGAATAACAGAAAAAGAAATAGCTACCTAATTACTAAGCTTGAATATAAATCAAAAATCTGTAAAGACTGAAGCAATTCAACCAGTGTTTATATATATATTTATAGGGAATTGCTTAAGTCTATATATACACATATAAAACTGTCCTGTGTTAGCCATATAATACGACAAAGTTTGAGCTTCATTTTCTCTCTAATGGTATAAATTGACTTGCAAGAAAAGCTGCAAATGTCTTTCAGGAAAAAAACTGAATTGTGGTTTCAGAAAATATTTTCAGTACAATGTTGTTCCTGCAGTTTTATTCAATAAAGGACTACTGTGTTGCTGTTGCTCAAGATGTGAAACTAGATCTCTTTCCTACTGTTGCTTTGTTAGCACAGTCAGGCAATTGACGATGGCATCCAGAAGAAAGTAGCATTTCTCAATACTCCTTAATTTACATATATAGCTAAAGAATTTAGCACAGTATGTGTTTGAATCTTATTAGCTTCCTTTCTTATGTACATAAAATATATGGTTTCTGAATTGGTTTAATAAAAACAATTATCAGAACAATATTCACTGGAAGTGGTGTGCATGAGGAATATCTATAAAAATAGAAAATATATTTTTCTCGATAGAGTTGTACAATCATTTTAGCTCAAGAAATAAGAAGACCGGCAGTAAGTGATTGAATAGCATCCATATTAATCTATCTTGAATTCAATGTATTCTAGTAGAATGTAAACTCCTTGAGAATAGCTGGGACTTTGTTTTGTTGAAGACTAAATTTCCATTGCCACAAACAAGTAAAAATGTGCCTATCATTTCACATATATATGTGCTAATTAATGTTCATACTTCCAATTTTATTGTCTTTTTAAAAATATCACTAATACCCAGGTTTAGAGAGTAATAAATCAACAACATTTAGATTTAGTAGCTCCTCTCAAAACCTTACACTTATAGCTGGTGAATATTTAACCTATATCAAGGTGAGCTCTTCTTTTCCATAAATCAAAAAATGTTTGTAAAAATAGCAGTAGAATTTATTTGTCAACAATTTAAAAGTCATGATAATCAACCATACACAGCAATTGGGCCATTCATATATGAACACATGCACCAAAGGCCCTCTGGATCTGAAGACTTTGTGCTTCCCAGTAATTGCTGAGTTGCTAGAATATGAAGAAAAATTGTTTCCTGGATTTCAACTCCATCCATCTTGGCAACTCTGGTTGTTCCCAAAAATATGGAACAACTTTCCTGTTCTTTCTTTCCATGCCAAATTTATATCCTCCTTTTCCCCCGGTAAACTCAATTTCATACCTCATAGCTTTACAGAGTAAAGCAACTATGCTAAATTATTTTTTAGCAGGGATAAGAATAGAGATGCTATTAAGAGATGCAGCCTGTGGAAAGCATTCCCTATTTAATAAATGGTGTTGGGAAAACTGGCTAGCCATATGCAGAAAACTGAAACTGGAACCCTTCCCTACACCTTATACAAAAATTAACTCAAGATGGATTAAAAACTTAAATGTAAGACCTAAAACCATAAAAACTCCAGAAAAAAACCTACACAATACCATTCAGGACATGGGCATGGGCAAAGACTTCATGACTAAAACACCAAAAACAATGGCAACAAAGCCAAAATTGACAAATGGGATGTAACTAAACTAAAGAGCTTCTGCATAGCAAAAGAAACTATCATCAGTGTGAACAGGCAACCTACTGAATGGGAGAAAACTTTTGCAATCTATCTATCTGACAAAGAGCTAATATCCAGAATCTATTAAGAACTTAAACACATTTACAAACAACAAACAACCCCTTCAAAAAGTGGGAGAAGGACATGAACAGACATGTCTCAAAAGAAGACATTTATGTGGCCAACAGACATGAAAAAAAGCTCATCATCACTGGTATTAGAGAAATACAAATCAAAACCACAATGAGATACTGTCTCATGCCAGTTAGAATGACGATCATTAAAAAGTCAGGAAACAACAGATGCTGGAGAGGATGTGGAGAAATAGGAACGCTTTTACACTGTTAGTGGGAGTGTAAATTAGTTCAACCATTGTGGAAGACAGTGTGGTGATTTCTCAAGGATCTAGAACCAGAAATATCATTTGACCCAGCAATCCCATTACTGGGTATATACCCAAAGGATTATAAATCATTCTACAATAAAGACACATGCAGACGTATGTTTATTGCAGCACTGTTCACAATAGCAAAGACTTGGAACCAACCAAAATGCCCGTCAATGATAGACTGGATAAAGAAAATCTAGCACATAGACATCATGGAATACTATGCAGCCATAAAAAAGAATAAGTTCATGTCTTTTCAGGGACATGGATGAAGCTGGAAACCATCATTCTCAGCAAATTAACACAGGAACAGAAAACCAAACACTGCATGTTCTCACTTATAAGTGGGAGTAGAACAATGAGAACACATGGACACAGGGAGAGGAACATCACACAGTGGGGTCTATCAGGGGGCGGGTGGCTAGGGGAGGGATAGTATTAGGAGAAATACCTAATGTAGATGACGGGTTGATGGGTGCAGCAAACCACCATGGCACGTGTATACCTATGTAACAAACCTGCACGTTCTGCAAATGTATCCCAGAACTTAAAGTTATAATAAAAAAATAATAATAGTAAAAATAAAAATAAAAGAGATGTAGTGGGTGGCTCACTCCTGCAATACCAGCACTTTGGGAGACCGAGGCAGGTGTATCACCTGAGATCAGGAGTTTGAGACCAGCCTGACCCATATGGTGAAACCCCATCTCTACTAAAAATACAAAAATTAGCCAGGCATGGTGGCGTGCACCTGTAGTTCCAGGTACTCGGGAGGTGGAGACAGGAGAATTGCTTGAACCTGGGAGGTGGAGGTTGCAGTGAGCCGTGATCACGCCACTTCACTCCAGCCTGGGTGGCAGAGTGAGACTCTGTCTCAAAAAAATAAAAAAATAAAATAAAATAAAATAAAATAAATAAAACAAAATGCTTAGGAAGAGAAAGTATTAAAAATAGGTAGGATATCACTGACAAATAAAAGGCCCTTGTGAAACTTTTATGTTGTTTGAGATATAACATAGGAGTATGGAAGGTAAGAGGGTTTATATGGTAAACATCAGCAGAAAATATGTAGAATCATTCCTATATGCAATTCTACTTGATCTCTCATTTATGCAATTATAGAAATATATACTCAACCAATATTTCTCAGTATTATAGTTTCGCTACATTTTATATGAGGTCTCATACAACCTCAAAATTCAAGTTACGTCTCATAATCTTAAGTTGAATAAACCTAAAGGAAAAGAAGAACAAATATCTTTCCTAAAGCATTATCTAGGCAAAATGTGAGTTTCTTCAGAAGCTCAAGAAAAATTATATATATATTTAATATATATATATTATATATATTAAATATATATATTATATATATTAAATATATAATATATATATTTAATATATATAATATATATATTAAATATATATAATATATATATTAAATATATATATAATATATATATATATATTTCAGGATACAAGTGTATTAGAAATTTAAGAACCTAGATGTGATTTTGAAAAGTATTGTAAAGTTCAAAAGGATTTGTTAAAATAACCAAGTGGAAAAAGGTATAGAAAAAAATGTAATTCAAAGTTGCTTCTGGATCTCTCCATTGGCTGAAAAACCTATGGTAAAGGCTAAAATTTAGCTCATATTAAATCTGCATTTTTAAAAAATATGAAGATTAAAAAACAGTAAGTAGAAATTCTTCATGGCTCTTTGTAAATTGTCTAACAATGTCTTTCAAATATTACCCACTGGTGATTATGCTTGGAAACAATAGTCAATTGTGGGCTAACAGCAGATTTTAAAAGCTGTAGGCAGAAGTCATCCTGGAAGTAAATGCTGAATAATTAGTTTCTGTGTATAATTCACAGAGACACTAATTATATGAAGATAATGACATAAAACTAATTATTTAAATTAAATATAAAGCCACAACTTTTCTTCCCCCTTATTTTCTTACATTGTCTATTAAACAATATACTGAGAGATAATCCCAACATTCAAGATCTACCAATCTTCACAGCAAAGTGGTTTTCTTGCCTTTCTCTTACTATAATGCATCCATCCACAAAGACAATTTCTAGAAAGTACTCAAGTTTTCTTGGTTCTGTTCCTTTCACTTTGATTTTACCTTTCTTTAATTTGTTTACATCTTCACATTTTTAATAATCACAAACATATACTATCCCCAAATCCCCCCCATTTTCCTCAGCAGGAAGTAATTATCTACTCACATCAATAATTCCAAAATGTTTATCGTTTGTATGCCACTTATTACATTATTTCTGTTAGGAATAATGTGTCTATTGTTGTATGACCTCTTCTACTAGATTTTAAGCTTCCTTAAGACAGTCAATCATCTTCTTTTTCACATTCACACTTAAAAGTGCATCTTTACATAGTATTCTTTTTAGTGTTTCCTGAATAAATATTCTGATCACAGACACAGATCATCCTCATGATTTTTACTGAATTCTAAAGATACGTGACAAAAATGGCAAGATGCTGTGATTAAGGTCAACGATTAATTATGATAAAAAAGCTTTCTAAGTCATCTTATTGCATAATTGTCAGCTTCCATCACTTTTCCTTTACAATTAGAACTCATGTCAAAGGATGACACTCTGGATTTCAGGGTTAATTATTCAGGAAGTCATCATAATTATCTACATATTTCTCCTGAAATGTGTGTTGACTATTGGCAGAATTTTGTGTGTTGTCAAAACAAATTGTGATAACTAAAATTTAATCAAAATTACTTTTCAAGAGCAAGTTTTTTTCTATAAATTTTCTTTTCCTTTTTAGTCTTTTAATAATTACACAATTATTAACACTGTATGTTTAGTGCTTTATTTTAATTATATATCAAAGGATTATAGTGTTTTGGCCAATGCATTAAGTTGACACAAATTTTCAAATAATATTTTTTATTGACTTAAAGTGCTATAGAAATCTTTTAAGAGATATGCATAACTCCATTTCCTAAATGGTAATGATAATAATTTTCCAGAAGGGCAAAATTGTACCTTTTCTAGTTATGGAACAGTTTCTAAATATATTTATTATCAATAAGAATAGAGAAAAAAATTCCTTGCCCAACATTTTATCTTTTTACACAAGTATTATATTATAATAAAATCACTTAAAGCCTAAAAACGATTTTAATATGATATAAAACTCATGTAAAAAGATAAAACGATGCCCTGTAAATGAGAAACTGTTTTTTAAATTATATTACTTAAGTGGTTTTGCTAGTACAATTAAATTTAAATAATATTAATCTATATTTTAATGTATCAGGTTATATATTTGATTTCCCAGTGTTATAAAGAAGTGTGTGTTTGTATATGCTATTTAATTTAAACCAAAATTTAAATTTGTGTCAGTCATCAATATCTTCTTTTCTATTTATCATCTACAGTATTTAGAATTTAAATCCATAGCTCCATAAACACCTTTCATATAAAAATTATTTAGTTTCAAAAGACAGAACAATAGACTATATCTTATCCTGAATTAAAAGTCCTCTAGCATTACCTTTAATATACTTTAAAACTTATATAGATGTAGCTTCTATTATATCATTGAAATTCTATTAAAATGCAATTGGAGCTAAGTTGCCTAAAGATGTGTATTGGCAGTCAACTTTAAATTTATATGTTGAAGTAGATAGAGACTTACCAATTATTGTAATTAATAATACAAAGCAACTGATTTCAAAGTGTGACCCAAGAACTTCCTTAAGATGATCAATCTTAAGAACCTGTGGAGTCATCTAGACTCTCTGTTAGGGGTTCATACGACCAAAATTCTATTAGCAATTACAATTACGTACTTTTCCAGTATGTTGCTCATTGCAGTGATGGGGCAAAAACACTAATGGCTAAAACTGCTGATGCCTTAACAAGAATTAAGGTCATGACACTGAACCGTACTAGCTGTTATGGTATACTTCACCACCATGCACTATATCATGAGGAATATAGCAGTGAAAATTTAGAAAACATGTTGTATTACTGTAAAGTACCATAGGTCAAATATATTCTAATGAAGATTTACTTTAATGAGATTAAGTGATACAACTTTTTAACCAGAAATTTGCACTAATGTGTAAATGATATGCAATATATTAAAGGAATAGTCATAGATTTCTCGATTTCAAAAACATATATATATATATATATATATAGAGAGAGAGAGAGAGAGAGAGAGAGTGTCTTAAAAATCCTAAACACCACTGTGGCTAGGGAGGAATGCAAATGTTTATCAATTCCCCAAAGCATTTCCAAACAATACCAAACCAAACTAATGTTGAATAATAAAAAGATAAGAAGAATAGTAGAAAGATAATAATATTTTTGAAAGTTTCAAAAGTTGCATTATTAGTGAGGTTTTGGCTACGTGACCCTGAGAAGTCAAATTAAATTAACAGGTAAAGGAAAGATTTTTAGTACAGTTGATCACATAATGAGTACTAAATATTTATAAATGTATATTATTTCCAATAATAACAATGTATATTATTTATAAATGTACATTATTTTTTGAAAGGACATAATATGCCAGACATTAGGGTTAGAGCTTTACCTGAGTCATTTCAATTAGTGATTAAGGGACAGTTAATCACATGAATATCTTGAACTGTAAATTTATGTTGAAGGCATTCAGGAAGAGAGGATAACCAATAGTACTAGTTTCATATTAAATAATAACAGATGAACTGAAAGTCTTTAAACTCTGTACTCACTGATCTAAATTGATTCTCATTCTTTTCAACATTTTTTAATATTGCCCAGTAATAATCTCAACTTCTAGTTCTGTTATTCCTTACAAATCTGCAGTGATGGCATTATCACTCCAACAAACTCTAAGCCATTTGTAAGACTGCAAAGCTAACAATATTATAAAGTTGTTGGTAATTAGGTTGATAGTCTGCTGCTGTGCTCAGAGCTAAGGATAAAGGATGGAGCAAAGGGAGTAGGATGTGCAAAAGGAGAAGGAATGTGTCTCTCTTGAAGAATTTATCATGCAAAAGATATTGGAGACATATGTCTGCATTTTGAATAAGCATGAGCAATTTCTAATAAAGCTGATTCTAAGGTAGAGTTAGAGTTTTGGATAAATGGACAATGTCTAAAATAAACTTACAGTATATTCAGGAACAAATTTGTCAAAAATAAACCTGGAAATAATGTACATTTATAAATATTTAGTACTCATTATGTGATCAACTGTACTAAAAATCTTTCCTTTACATGTTAATTTAATTTGACTTCTCAGGGTCAACTAACCAAAACCTCACTAATGCAACTTTTGAAGAAAAGGAAAAAAAATGTGTATTGTGAAAATGTCAAAGGTTTACAGGTAAGAGTTCACCAAATAGCATAGAAAGAGTTTGCTTAATTCTATATTAACTAGAAATTTATAAAAGAGGCCTTTTTTGAAACTGATTAATATGAAATAAAAACCACATTTCCATGCACAACTTATCTCCTACCATTTAATTAAAATTGAACAGATAAAAATAAGAAAGAGAATATTGTTTGAAATGTTAGCCCACTTAATAATGACAGAATCCTACTATAGTATAATATTTTCCCCAAAAATATCTATAAAGGACACAAAACATTTCAAAGGACACCATTTAAATTTTATACAGATGGAAAGAATAAAATACCCCTAAATACATTAGTTTCTATAATAAAGTTGAATATTGTAAAGTTTGCTTACTGGAGGGAATGTGCTACATTAAAAGTGAAGTTATAAAAAGTAACTATTAGAATATAAGAAAAAAAACAAATTATTAGACCTAAAACCTACAGTGTACACCGAAATACTGTATATATAAAATAAATTGATGGAATAATTATTAGTGAATACGAATTTAGGGTTAGAAATACATTTTAGAAACAGTCACAATTTCAAAAAAAATAGAAACAAAATGAAAAAGAGACTTTCAATTCAGATTACTGCTTAATTTAATAAATAAAATACAACATAAATTAAAATGGAAATTAACAGAAATTAACAGAATATTAAAAATAGAAAAACAATATTAAAAATAATATTAGAATATAAAACATTAAATATTGTATGTAAAATAAAATAAAATTATTTAATAATAATAAAATTTAATAAAATATTGAAACTGAATATTAAAAATATAAAACTATTAAAGCAGAATATTAAAACTAAAAACAGAAATTAACAAAATAAACTAAATTTATATAACAAAAATAATGATTTACCCTAATACGTAGAGTTTTTATAGAGTTTTATATTTCATGTGCTTTTATAATTATTTATATTAGGAAACATTTGAAAGCTGATAAAAGCACACAAACAGGCAGGGTCACAAAAGAAAAGTAAAATGATAACATGTTCAAATTTATTTCTAATAAAAACTATAATTGGGAGGATAATTTTTCTAATTTGTTTTACAAGTTGTAATATATGTGCCAGAAACTACTAACTTCATTAATGTCTCTCTTACCTGGACATGTATCTAGACAAGATAGACAATTTTCTTTTCATAATAGAATGCAAATAATGTTTTCACATTTTTAGCATTCAACATCATGTCTAAATATATTTTTCAATATGGTTGTTTTGTACATGCCCTTTATCAGATTAAGAACATATCCACTGATTTCTAGTTTGGTAACTTTTATTTTATTTTATTTACTTATTTATTTATTTATTTTGAGACGGAGTCTTGCTCTGTCACCCAGGCTGGAGTGCCATAGCACGATCTCGGCTCACTGCAACTTCCGTCTCCCGGGTTCAAGCGATTCTCCAGCCTCAGCCTCGCTATTAGCTGGAATTACAGGCACCTGCCACCATGCCCCGCTAATTTTTGTATTGTTTTTAGTAGAGACGGGGTTTCACCATGTTGGTCAGGCTGATCTCGAACTCCTGATCTCAGGTGATCCACCTGCTTTGGATTCCCAAAGTGCTGGGATTACAGATGTGAGCCACTGTGCCTGCCCAGTAACTTTTACTTTCATGAATTAAAGTTGAATTTTATGAAATGCTTTTTATGCATATAGAGAGACATTGATATAAGGTTTTTGAAATTTTATTGATACTGGGGATTATTAATTGATAAGAATGTTCTTAAAATTTTGCATTATTTTAAAATAATCAATTTACGCTTAATGTTTTGGTATTTTATATTATGTATTTTATATTTTTAGCATTTCTTATAATATTGCATTTGAGGAAGCATTTGGTTTTCCTCCTAAGTAGGCTATAGTCTTGCATTCCACAAACTTTGCTGCTTAAGACCTTTTTATCATTCAGTTCACATTGTTTACTAATTCCATTGTATTATTTCTTTAACCTATGTATTATTTAGAAATGTATTTCAAATTTCAATATAGGGTGTTTTCAAGTTATGTGTGTTTTACTTTTTTTCTAGTTAAATACATCAACTTTTGAAATGCATCGAGATGTGTTTATGATACAGTATATGAAAGATTTCTTAAAAATTATCTAGTGTGCTTGAAAAGAATCGGTTTTCTGTGCTTGGTGAGAGTTCTCTGTACTGACATTAAATAAAATTTGTTAACCATGTTTTCCAAATCTTGTATACTCTTACTTTTTTAAAAACTATTTGTTATCAAGTTACTAAGGAATGTGTTATAATGCCCTAGCATAATTTTTTTGTCTACTTTTTTCTAGTAGATTTTCCAGTGTTCACTTCCTATTTTTGAAGGTCATGTTTATAAAAAATGCTTAATAATTTAGAACTGTTGTTTCCTTCTTGGTGAGTTAAAATTTTTATCGTAATGAAATGTTCCTCTCTATCTCCAGCGATACTTTTTGACTCAATGTTTACTTTGGTAATTAATATAGCTATACTATCTTTTTTTCTTAATATTTTCAAACTATGTATTTTCCAAATATTATTTTTATACATTTAGTAGCCACTTATTTTAGATAAATAGTGGAATCATGTTTTTTAATGTTTATAATCCAGTTTAGCAATGCTAGGGTTTTAATTGGAACACTTAACAGAGATATATTTGATGTAACTAATATCTCACTTTTAAATCTCACTTTTAAATAATCTGTATTATTCTGTAATTTTTCTGTGCTGCCTGTCCTATGTTATTTTTTTCCTCCTCACTTTTACATTCCTTTGCATTAGCTAGGTATTTATTATTATACCATGTTTTTTCTCTGTTACTTTGGAATTTATACATGATTTTATAATTCTTTTTTTTTTTTTTTTTTTTTTTTGAGACGGAGTCTCGCTCTGTCGCCCAGGCTGGAGTGCAGTGGTGGGATCTCGGCTCACTGCAAGCTCCGCCTCCCGGGTTCACGCCATTCTCCTGCCTCAGCCTCCCAAGTAGCTGGGACTACAGGCGCCCGCCACTACGCCCGGCTAATTTTTTGTATTTTTAGTAGAGACGGGGTTTCACCGTTTTTAGCCGGGATGGTCTCGATCTCCTGACCTCGTGATCCGCCCACCTCGGCCTCCCAAAGTGCTGGGATTACAGGCGTGAGACACCGCACCCGGCCTATAATTCTTTTAATGTTACTCTGGACCAGATTACAGCATGCAGCTTTGACTTATGAATGTCTAATATTAATGGTACATTTACATCTCCCCAAACAAAATAATTTTAGAATACTTAACGGCATTCATTGACCATTTTTGACATGCATGCTATTTTTATTGTATTTTTCAATTTTTAAAATATATTTCAAAGTCCACAACACATTATTTTTATTTTTGTGTTGTCAATCTTTCTTTTAAGATTAACCCACAGATTTTACCTTTTACATTGCTCTTTATTTTATTTTCAATATTTCTTTATCAAAAATTATGCTCAGAGTTAAGTTGTAGCAATAGGGAGTGTATTTTCCTCTGGTTGAAAACACCTAGAAAATGAATAAAATATATGAAACAATCATTTTTAAGATTGGTCACTGATATGGTTAGGTTCTGTGTTCCCACCCAAATCTCATCCTGAAGCTCCCATAATTCTCATGTGTTGTGGGAGGGACCTGGTGGGAGATGATTGAATCATGGCGGTGGGTCTTTCCTGTGCTGTTCTCATGATAGCGAATGGGTCTCAAGAGATCTGATAATTTTAAAAATGGGAGTCTCCCTCCACAAGCTCTCTTTTCTGAGAGGCCTTACCAGCCATATGGAACTGTAAATACAATAAACCTCTTTCTTTTGTAAATTACTCAGTCGTGGGTATGTCTTTATCAGCAGAGTGAAAACGGACCAATACAGTCATCAGTCAATGAAGGATAGTGGTATCTGAAAAATTAGAAATTTAGCTTACTATCATGAAAGACTTTCTAGAATATGGGACAGAAGATAACCCAAGCAGAAAATTCTCAGAAAGGAATAACAGAGGAGAAGAGTTGCACAGAGAAAGCACTCTGGTGATCTGTATAAGGCCTTCTTAGGATATTTAGCAGAGTACTGATTAGAGTATGTGTATTAGTCCATTCTCATACTGTGATAAGAAAATACCTTTGACTAGGTAGTACATAAAGAAAAAAATATGTAATTGGCTCACAGTTCTGCATGGCTAGGAAGGCCTCAGGAAACTTACAATCATGGTGGAAAACACCTCTTCACAGGGCAGCGGGAGAGAGAATGAATGTCAACAGGCAAATGCCAGACAGAAACTGTCGGTTCCCATGAGAACTCACTATCATGAGAACAGCATAGGGAAAACTGTCCCCACGATTCAATTAGCTCCCACCAGGTCCCTCCCATGACACGTGGAGATTACGGGGATCACAATTCAAGATGAGATGTAGGTGGGGACACAGAGCCAAACCATATGTGCATGTGTGGGAGAAAATCACTTAGGCTGCAGAAAGAATCACAAAAATGCTTATAAAAAACAGTACATTAAGCTCAAACAGGGTCACAAATTTTATCTGAGGCCGTGTTTCCATCATTTTGACTGGAAAACCTTACAATTCATAAGACATTAGTACTCAAAGTATCAGCAAGATTTTGACTAGTAGTTAAGGATAATAAGTTCTCGACAAATATGACTTCAGTATAGCTTGAAAAATCTTAAAAGCAATAACATCATTGTTTCCAAGCAATTGAAATATATCCCAGAACAAAGCTCAAGAACATGTATAATAATACGTAAGTATCCAGCACCAACAAAGTAAGATTCACAATATTTGTCATTCAGTAAAAGATCATCAAGTATGCCAAAACCAGGAAACTACCACAAAGAATGAGAAGAAAAATGAAAATGAATCAGTCAAAACCAACCCAGAACTCAGTCAGTTCTGGGTTGGTTTTGATTGATTCTGCACAGATTAGGGTAAGCAGAAAAGACCATAAAAACAAATGGTATAATATTATTCTATTAGTTCAAAAAGCTAGGTATAAGATTTAATGAGTTTTGCCTTTATAGAAGGCAAAGAAATATACAAATTTCTAGAGGTGAAAACTACAATAGCTGCGATGAAAATTTTGCTAGAGAGGTTTCATGACAGATTGGGCATTGCAGAAGGAAAAATTAGTAAATGTGAAGATAAAGCCATAGAAACTATTTAAAATGAAACTAAAAGAGAAAAATGACACACAAAATAAATAGAGAATTAGTAAAAGCCTTAATATAGGTATAATTGGAGTCAATCAAAGAAATAAGAAGGTACAAAGAAAAATATTTGAATAAATTGTGGCCTATAGTATTTAATAAAAAATCATTTTATATTTCATATTTCAGAAAACAGTACACACATATAAGATATTAGAACTTAAATAATCTTACATTTATGATGACTATTATTTTTATTTTTAATTACTTGGTTAAGAGCATCATAACCATCTTAGTGCTTTGTGTCTTTAAATGTCTTTATTGGGTTCTGCTCTTGAATCCTCATACTGCTTTAATTTCTGGGTGTCTGATAATTTCAATAAATTTTTACTGAGACAAAGTGAGTTATTTTATTTGGTCCCAACCTCAAAGTGTGTGTGTGTGTGTGTGTGTGTGTGTGTGTGTGTGCAGGTGTGTGTGTGTGTATGAGCTTGTGTATGTGCATGTGTGTAGATTTTTTCTCTCTCAGATCTAAGTACTTACACCTAGAACCCTCTCTAAGGAAAAATTCACTTCCTTTTCTCTAGATTTGATATATGGAATCAGCAACAGGCCTCATTGGTCATTTTTTCTTCCTTTCTTTCTTCTTTTACATGCAGAGTGCCACTTGGCACATGTGTTATTTATATACTCCATTAAGTCTATCGTGCTCAAATCTGGCTGACCAGTAAATACCATTTGGATTTTTGACAACTTGAATGTTTATCCTTATTTCAGACACATTAACTCCAACAGAAGTAGGAGGTATGGGGCCAAGGAATTTTCAGTTTAATAAGATTTCAATTTAAATCCTATGATCTGCCAGTTTTGACAGCAGGTTCTAAGCTAGTGGGACAAAATTAATTTTGAGAGAATCAACCTATCATATTTCAAAAGAGAATGTTGTAGGCAAATTTTTAATTACAGACCCTTGACTACTTAAGAAACAGAACAATTGATTGGACAATTTTTCAGATAAGGCATCTAGAAATAACATTTTAATACTGTCACGTAACCGGTACTACAACCCAGTAAAATTTATAAATTAGTTTGGCATATATCATGTCAAGTATAATACGTTAGTTAAATTAGAAATAGAATAATTTTATCCTATAAATTACATTGATAGGTATTATTTTAAATACTGAGAAAGAAAAAGAAACAATCCATGAAGAAATGCTTGATCATATGAATTTTATAATTTATAATTTTCTTTATATATAACATTATGTGTTATTTGTTGATAGAAAATCTATATAATGTAGCATGCTGCATTATTTGTCTAAGAAACTATATTACTTCTATAGCTTAATCGACTAAAACAGAAAGAAAGATGCATTCATATGTACCGTATTAAAACCATGAAAATAGTTTTTATAAAAGTATTTTAGCATATTTTGACTTGTTTGGAGTGCCTTGTGAAATACTACTTTAACAAATCTACTCAACATTTTTTAACTTTCACTCTATCAATTGTGATCCCCTTAAAACTCTTGTCTCAAAATATCCTACTGTTAAGTATTTGTACCATCTTAGGTAATAACGGATTTAAAAACTTATTTGGTAGTGTTAAAAAAAAAAGGGAAATGAATTTTAATAATGAAAATTTTTACTCCCAGCTACATAGATGTATTAAACAATAATAATCTTATTTACATTGGAACCCCCAAATAAAACTTCAATATAGCTTATATTAAAAAGCAAAAAGTTTTGTACGAAGACATGAAAAGGCTGAAATTTCTAATTTTCAATAACTAAGAAGGAAAGGGGAGAGATTTATGCTGGCTTTATTTCTAAGATTAGTAGTGTTATGTAATTTTATGACTGAAATAATTCCCAAAGATTCTGGTCTGAAACTAATTGTATTTGCTTTCTCTCGCGCGCTCTCTCTCTCTCTCTCTACTTACCATCTATCTACATATTTAGTCAGCAGATGTATATTGACACTTTTTTGCGTAACTAGGAAGCATGGTATTTTGATGCATTGCTGCATGAAGTATAAATCAGTTTTAAACTGCTGAGAGATAATGTATCAAAAGTTTTGAATATCTTTGATCCAAGAACACAGAATCGAATAGGTTACTCTAAGGAGATAAATAATGGATACGTACGAAGATTTAGCAAGAAGAATGTACACTGATGCATTATTGAAAATTAACAAGAAAACATAACACATTAAATAGTAGAAGCTCGTCAGATGGCTTTATCCACAGTGACATAGGAACACAGAACTGCTTGACAACTGATTCTAAAGACTTTTTTCTTCATATTCTCACATTATAATGGAAGAGATGACATTGTTTTTCTAAGAACAAGGCGTGTGGTTACATTTTAGCTCTGATAAGCATCTGATGGCTATTTTTAGTTTCTCCTGTTCTTGGGATCTTCATTTGTCCCATTACTTCCCTTTTTATTTTTCTCTACTCAGATATTGATACTGGACGACCCTTGTGGCACTTACTGGTTTGTCCCTATTTGTTTGTATGTGTGTTTTGAAGAGATACATTGCAATCAAATTTATTGCAAATATTTTCCATTGGTGTTCTAAATATCTTTATATTCAGATTTGGGAAGATTCAGAATTAGGCTTCTGTCTACCACCATTTTCTAAGAATTCCTTTATGCATAATTTTAAACATGACAAAATGTGGCTTTCTTCTTGTTAAAGAATAATCATGACATGTCCTACAATAAATCTATAACTGAAACAGTGGAAAATAGTTCATCACATACTCTGTACCTTAGTCAATAAAAAGATGAATTCCTTAAATGACTATCATAATGATTAATATCTAGGTATTTATCATAGATGCTCTTTCAAATGTTTGTTTATTTTTTGTTTTCATTGGTTCTGATTACTCTGGCACATAGTTTTCTTTTGAAATGAACTAATGCCTAGAATGTTTGTACCGTAAAATTAATAAAAATTATATGTGTGAGAGGATGTAAAATTTTCCATTAAAACTGCACCAAGTGCTGGGGACAGACATTAAATAGCTATCTATAATGAGTGCACAGATTTGAGTTAATAACAACACAAATTTGCATTTATAATTTTGAGCCATATACTTCATTCACAGGTTTTTAAAAAGAATATTACATCAGTCATTGTAATGCTAATAAATTGTAGATTACTGTTTAACTTTCTTTGTTTTACTCCAACCCTCAATCTCTCTAATGATACAGCAGTTTCAGCGAAGAACTGATAATAAGACTGAACTAAGTTTGTGGTATTCTATAGCTCAATTTTTAGTTTCAGAAATCACAAAGAATAACAAGTACATCATATTAAATTATTAAGAAAATGGGGATATTATAATGTAAAGGCAATAAGAAGAAGATTAAGTAAAATTCTATTATAGTCCAGACTCTATCATTTTAAAGAAAATTTTTGTTAATGCCAAGTAATAACTGCATTGCTTTTCCATTAGCTGGTTTTAATGATTATGACTAATGTCTTTCACTTTGTAACAAAATTGAAAGCTTAGTTGTCTTGAATTAACCTCCTTACTGCAGCATAGAACAGAGGACTACATTAACCTTACAGAATTTTATACAGGGCAATAACTTAATAAATGCTGTCTATATTTATAATGGAAGGGCAAAGACTCTCAGTTTGCTATATCCGCATTTTCAGATACTCTCCTTCCATTCTTTGTGGGCACATAAAAAATAGTGCTCATTTGAGTATATTAAAATACTTTTTTACTTCATAAACAAGGTAAGATAGAGAAAGGGGAGTTTCAAAGCCAGAACCTAAAAGTGAAGCCTTTAAAAACTATGTCCACTGGATTCGTCTCAGTAGAGAGACTACATCATTTCATATGCTCCCACAGAATATCCAGCTCTTCAAAGATTTTGATAAGGCTCCAAATATATTTCCTTATTAATAGAGCTTGCCTTATATAGTACTTGCTCAACTGTTCTACTTTTTTGCTTCTTTCTCCAACCACCTCCCTTATGATTTTGTTCCATTTGGTACAATAGAAATAGTTATAACTCCTACTTCATAGCTCACATTTTTAAATGTGTTACACAATGTAAACCAGTTTGACAAACCTTATACATTTTATAAATGAAAGGCAATATAATGGCAACACTTCACCTCCATACAATATTGAATTTCTTCATATATACCTTTTTGTAGATATTAATATTTATTCCTATGAAATATTCATTAGATAAAGAAGCTATTTGTATAGTTGGAAAATGTAGTGGAAAGTAATTAATGAATCTCATACATAATTAATGGCATATGCCATTGTGAACATCATCATGTTGAGATAGAGGTCACAATTAATGAATGAATTAAATGACAAGACAAATAATGAATACTGGCTCTTCAAAATTTAATGGGAATTTCACATAGGTAATATTTTAGCTGCCTTGTTTATAGAGAATACCACTTATATAATAATACATCTTCTTTTACATAATTTTTTAATCCAGAATCTTTGAGAAGGGTTGCTGAATATGTCTGGACACACAAAGAATTGGCTGTATGAGTTAATATCTGTTTGTATCTTTAATGTATTATAATGGATATTTAAATGAATACTCAACTTGCAAAATCATTACAGGAATAAATTGTTCCCACTATTTTTAGCAGTTAGGAAAGTTCATTTGAAAGTTAATGTTGGTGACTGTCATAGGTGAAGTGCTAATAAATTATCCTCAGAAAGGGACATGACTTTCTTGGCTGTTTTACCTGAAGATTTTGTAAATGTGTGTTATTTGTCTAATGCTTATGAATATCATTAAAAAGTTCCAATATTAAAATTGCTTAAGTCAATTGTTAGAAATTTAGAAAACATTTTTTTAATTCTTAAATTTGAACTGTTCTCTCTTCATATGCTTTTGTACTATTAGCTATTTTCTTTAGCTATAATACTAACTGGTATTACTAAGCTAGAAGACTAATTACCATTTATTTTCATGTAGAGAGAAAAGGTTGACAAAGTTATAAAAACCTTTTTATAATTTTCAGCTTATGTGAGAATCAAACTCAAGTTTGTTGACATTCAGGGTAGCTTAGTGTATATACCCATTTGTCAATTAAATTGCTCATGAGACACTAGTTTCAAACATATATCTCAAAATTCAAAAGACCATAGTATCATAAATACAAATATTTATAGTATTTACTTTGTTTTTATGAGAGCAACTTTGGAAGAAAGCATTTGAAAGCCTCACTTCAGTCTCTCACTAAATTCTAGCGATATATTGAAATTTTTTCCTTCTTAATGTATTCATAAAAGTTATTGGCTTCTTCACAAACTACTCAGATGTTTTCTGACCTGTTATCACTTTCAAAAATTAGGGTGATGCAAGGAGAAAATAAATTTCAACCATCATTAATCAACGGATTACTTTCTTTAAAAAATCAAAGTAAAAGGCATGAGTTTAAATTTAGCAATGACGTTAGGTACATTAAAGTTGTAACCATCCATAGTTCTATCCTTAATTGCATTTTTTTCATATAATGGTAAGCCAGTATAATATGATCCAATTATATGAGGCTTCTAAATTATATTTGAATTTAAAATATTTAAAAATGACAATTCAAAGATCTCAAAAACCATTTTATTCATGTTATAAAAGTGAACTAATCAGACACTCTAGTGTATACACCTAAGCAAATTATAACATTCATTCAACTCTGATAATATTGCAAGTATTGGTTTTTGCTTCAAACCTTTATGGGAACATTCAAAACTAATAAATATAGAAGGCTTGTCATTTTTTTTCCAGTGAACTGTGATAATCCTATAAAATAAGAGGTAATTCTGGCACATTTAAATTATTCATTAATTTAGAACTTTCTAGTGTTATAATTTTCATTACATTTTCTCACAATGATTATAAGCATTCCACCTGTCATGTCAAATATTTATTGCTGCTTGCAGACTAACGAAAACTGTCTTCAAATAAAGGATGTTTCCATAGACACAACCTCTTTAATTACAGCTATTAAAAATACCACATATTAGATTTGTAAATAATTTGTTTTGGATCCTGATGATTCATATACTGACTGCATGACATTGAGGAGGTCACTAAACTTTCACCTGAACCTCAGTTCCATCATATACAAATTTGGCAAAAAAAAAAAATCAAGCGAGAATGGAGGCAAAATTTATTTGGTGTTTAGCCTAGAGTGTGTTCTTAATAACCTTTGTATTTTAGAATAGCTGTCAATGTGCTGTCTAGTAAGTTTCCATATATGGGCCCCTGGGTATTGCTATTATTAATATTCTACATTAATATGGTACATTTATTTAAATTTAAATTAGTGAAGCATTATTAACATATTAATTAAAGTCTATATTTTATTTAGAATTTTTTATTTTTTACCTCACCTCTTTTCTGTTCCAGGATGCTTTCCGGGATTCCACATTATATTCAGACATCATGTCTTCTCAAGACTGTGACAGTTTCTCAGATTTTCCTTGGTTATCATGACCTCAACAGTTTGGAAGGATACGGCTAGGGCATTTTGCAGAATAACTGATTGGGTCATGGTTTCTTAATGATTAGACTGGAGTTAAGTGTTGTGGGAAAGATCACAGAGGTGTCATTCTCATCATGTCATATCAAAGGCATATATGCTATCAGTATGATTTATCACTGTTGATGTTAACCTTGATCACCTGATTGAGGCAATATTTGTACAGTGTCTTCACTATGAATTTACTTTCTCCCTTCACTCTCCACACTGTGCTCATTCAAAGGCAGTCACCTTGCTAATCCACATTTAAGAAGTAGAGTTACATTCTACCTTTTTGAGAGGACCATATTTAAATTTTATTTGGAATTCTTCTGCAATGATCCGTATGTACTGGATTAGAGTTGGAGAAAATATGAATTCATGTATAGGAAGATTTTTGAGTATTTTCTTCATTTGTTTGTATGATCATATACTTATAGTAGTATGGACTTAGGAATATTTATGTTATAGTTTTGGCTCTAATTCAAAACTCCATTATTTGTGTTTTTGCTCAAACTGTTTCCACTTGGCTATTGAGAGTGCTTTCAGTTGACATGAAAAAGAACATGACTTGTTCTTTTGACATTCTTCCATAGACTTCGTTTTGCTTTTTAGCATGTCCTTGCCTTCTGGCACTTCAGGATGCTCCAGGCTCATCTTGCATATTCCCAGCCCCAGCCTTAGAACCAGCAATTTCCATTTTATTCAAGGAGTTTTGGTTCCTTTTATCAGAGTATAGTATAAGGCAATGGACACCAATGAGACATGTATGTGCATACTAAGCTGTGTAAATACACGTATATACATGCTTGCATATGTATCCATCTGTATTCATATTAAGCTAGCAATGAGTTCAAGCTGGTGTCTCTGACTTTAATTTCGTACTACATAGATCATTTTACATTTCCTCTTTTGCTTCTTTGTAATCACCCACACTGACAGTGAGACCTAGTCTCCCAGCGTCTGCCATCCATTTACTTAATAGTTTAATTCCAGTATACAGGAATATTTGGTTCACATTGTCAACCATATCCCTCCTGTTGAGAACTTTGCCAACTAGAATATAGTTCTTATGTACAGTTCCTTTAGCCTTTTAGCCTTATAGTCTTCACTAATTTCCAGTTACTTAGGTCAGCAGTTTTTCCCTTAACAACATTCAGTGAGATTATTACATTTGAAATACAATTAGATTCGTATGTCATAGTTTACTTTCCATTCTGGCATTCCTTGACATCTGAAATGATTTTTAAAATTTGCATACATTAAGGTTCAATCTTTACACTATAAAGTTATATGGGTTCTGACAAATGCAGTGTTATGTATCAGCAACTATAGTACCATACAGAATAGTTAACTGCTTTTAAAAATCCTTTGTTCTTCACCTATTTAACCCTCCACACTACTAAACCCTTTTCAAATACTAATCTGTTTACCATCCCTATAATTTTTAATTTTCCACAATGTCAAATAGATAAAATACTACAATATATAGCCTTTTCAGACTAGCTTATTTGACTCAGTAATTTGTGATCTTCATTTATACCATTATAGCTTTGCCCTGGTACTGATTGATGAAAAATTTTTGTTTAGTTTCGTCTTTTGTTTTAGATTTCCTTTTTAAATTATATTTTGGGCATATACTTTTTGCTTTGAAACTCACCAACCTGAATCATTTGTTTAGCCCCCTCCTCTTCTCCTTATTGCATAGAAAAATATCTAACTCCATAGCTAATGGCAGTTTTGTTCTTTATTTCACATTGAGAATACATTAGTTGTTTAAAAAAGTATTTGCATAATTTTTCTTGCTTACTTTACAGTGTTCTTTGCTAATATTTATTTCCCCTTTCATTTCTATTTTTCTTTCATTTTAGATTATTCATTTTCTTTTATAGTTAATATTAATCCTTTCTCCTCTGTTACACCTTTTGTGTTTCTTTCAAAATTATGTTTTAACTCTCTGGCTTACCATTTTTCTACCTAGTTTTCTCTATCTCTGAGTTTATTTGCCCACCCTTCTCCCATAACACACATTCTCGTAATTATTAAATTATTTGCCATCTTGATTATAATATATTCAAAATGGTTAATATAAGAAGAACTTAACAAAAGAATTATTTTCAAATGTGGGCAAGGAATAAAAAGAAGGAGTTGCTACTAGAATCAAAGAAGATAACTGCAGGAAAAAGGCTGCTTAATAGCAACGATGTGATTAAGTAGATAGACTACACAGTCCTTTGGACACCCATAGCGGAGAATGAGGAGAATATAGAATATAGCCTCCTTCTCTTACTGCCCTCTGATCTTCTGCCAGGGCTTTCTACTGGCCAAAAATAACTGGAAACCAGAGGGAATATGAATCTATACACGTTGTACACACAGAACAAATACCAGGTGCAAGAAGGATGCAGAGGATGTAAAGTTGATTCATCCAGCACAGTATTTTATGAAAATGCTTTTCTCTATTTTATTTCAACAATGTGAAATTTTACACACACACACACACACACATTCATACACACATGTTTCTATCTACCTATTTATCTTATCTACTTATCTACCTACCTACCTACCTACCTAACTGCCTGCCTATCTGTCTCCTCTTTATAACAGTACAAAGGATGGATATATGAGGTTAGTGGTATCTTTGCAGCTTTGAAATTACATCACAAATTCCTCAGGACACATCTCTCTTTCTCAGGAGCCTTAAGGGTTTGTTTCTCCCGTATTCTCCTTCATCCTGATAATTACCTCCTAACTCATTTTCGATCTTAATAGACCACCAGAAAAAGAGTAAAGCAATTATGATTTGCCAGATGAAGGCTGATATGCTGGCTTTCATCTTATCAATTAAGTGATCACCTTTTTATTCAACTTTTTTCCTACTGTTTAAATATGAAAATATGTGGATTAGTCACAGCAACTTACCAAACTCTTTATCTTGCTCTCTCCTCTTCCATTCAAACACATGGCAAATACAGCAAACCTAGATGCTTGCTAATCTTGGGAAAAGCAGAGGTCTTCTCCCTTGCATTTCCTTTCTTTCTCTTTTTCTCTTTTGTATGACAGCAGAGTTTGAAAAAAAAAATCTCATCTGGAGAAGGCATGACATAAATGGCCTTTTGCTATACTCTAATCTAGGTATAGAGGAGGGGGAAATGCATTTCTCCTGTTTTCTTTCTCTTTAAAATTCTTTTTATTTGAAATAATGTCCATTTCTTTCTACTAATATAGACATTTCCAAGGCTTGAGTTTAAATATTGAAAATGAGGAAAAGGCAAAACAATGTTAGTCTTAATGTATGGTTATAGGGAGAGGAAGACAAGAAAAATATAAGTATTCATGCAATTTTGCATGTCCTAATCTAATAATGCTATCACAAGTCTCCTTTCCTATGTGTCATTTTTAACAATGGACCACATAGATGAATGATACTCCTTGTTGCACTAAAAGTTCTTGAACAATAAAATATTTTCTACTTTGATCATTTGTTTATCTCTTTGAGAATTATCAGAACTAATTGCTTCTACCTTAAATAAAAATTAAGGTATAATAATTGTAAGTAGCATTTACCCATTTACACATAGAGTTCTGTGAGTTTTGAAGAAACATGTAATCCTACACACCACTGCAATGCAGATAAAAAAACTATTGCCAAATCCTCCCCAATGCCCCTTTGCTTCTGTCTAGTCAAATCACTCTCACCTGTAGCTCCTAGCAACTATTGATTTGCTTCCTGACCCTATAATTTTGCCTTTGTATGAATGTCATATAAATGAAATAGAATATGTTGCCATTTGAGTTCACCTTATTTCATACCTTATTTTGAACTTATATATATCATTACATATATCAATAGGTTGATTTTCTTAATTGCCAATAAATACTCCATTCTACAGCATAACATAGTAGGTTCATTCTCCACTTAAATAATATTTGGGTTATTTCCAGTTTTTGAGGTTATTAACATAGTCAATATCAATATCCACATGCAGAATTTTGTGTGAAAATAGGTTTTAGTTTTTCCAAATTAAGTAGAATCATGGAATTGAAGCTCATTGTATGAAACACATAACCACCTGCTCTGTATCAGCACTTCATAGTGCCATTAAAAAATTCTGCCATTATAATAAATTTTTATAGCATTCATTGTGGTTTCATTTTTCATTTTTCTAATGTCTAATGATTTTGAAAATATTTTCAGTTGCCTGTTTGCTATCTGTACAATTTATTTGGTAAAGTGTCTTTGGAAATTATCTTTGAGTTAGGAGAATTATTAATATATTATTGATGAGAGTCATTTGGCAGATACGTGATCTGCAAATACATTTTTCTTCAATATTATGGTATGTCTTTTTATTCTACTACTAATATCCTCTGTGAAATAAAAGTTTTATATTTAGATGAAGTCCAAATTATAATTTGCTTTCTTTTATAGGTCATGTTTTGTGACATAATTTTGAGAAGACCTCAGCTTTTCCCAAGATTAACAGGTGTCTAGTTATGCTGTATTTGCCATGTGTCTGAATGGAAAAGGAGAGAGCAAGAGAAAGAGTTTGATAAGTTGATGTGACTAATCCACATATTTTCATATTCAAACAGTAGAAAAAAAGTAGAATAAAGAAGTGACAGAGATGCTCTCCCAAGTTTTCCTCTGGGAGTTTTATGGTTTTACATCTAAATCTGTGAACCATTATTATTTTGAATAAGAGTAGTCAGAACAGACAAACCTATCCTCCTAGATCTTAGAGGGAAATCATCTCATCTTCTATCATTAAGTGTGATTTTAGCTTGAGGATTTTATAGATGCCCTTTATCAGGCTAAAAGAAATCAAGCTTTTTATTTCATAGTGTGCTAAGAATTTTTATCATGAATAGTTGTAGAATTTTACCAAGGTCTTCTAATGCATTAATGGATACTACCATATGGTTTCATTTTTTAGGCTTTTGATATGATGAATTTAGTTACTTAAATACATTTTTCATAAAACCAATTTTTAAATTTTATCAACTTTCTCATATTTTTCCATTCTCAACTTCACTAATTCTTTACCTTTTAAAATTATTCTCTTTCTTTTGCTCCTTTGAGGTTTAATTTGTTCTTATCTTACCAGGTTAAGAAGAAAATTTAGATATTTGATTTTGGACCTTTATTTTTAGCATCAGTATTTAATATTCTAAATTTTTATATTATTAGTGTTCCAGCTTGTATTTTTTATTTCATTGTTAATATTTTCAATTATTCTTATGATGTCCTTTTTGACCCATGGGCTATCTAGAGATATGTTATTTAATTTATAAGTATTTGTAGATTCTCCATGTATCATTCTGTTATTAATGTCTAGAATAATTATATTATCATCACATGAAAGATTAGATATAATTTTAATATTTAAAAATTTATTAACATTTCTTGTACGACCCTAAATAATATTTGTCTTTGTGAATATTTCATGTGGACTTGAAAAAAATTGTATTTTGTGCCTGTTGATTGTAATCTATAGTGTTGCTCATATTTTCTATAATCTTGGTGATTTCCAGTTCTATTTGCTTTTGCTTCATGTACTTTGAAGCTCTCTTGTTTGATGAACATTTATTTTGTATTGTTATGTCTTCTTGGAGATGTGCCCATTTTTCATGTGTAAATTGCTTCATTATTTCTGATAATAATCCATGTTGAAGTCCACTTTGATGTTATTAAAGGTACTCCAGCTTCCTTTTGAATCACATTTGCACGACACATCCTTTCATTCTTTTTGCATTTAAAGTATTTATTCTTTATATTTGAAGTGAATTATTATAGTTGGGTTTTGCTTTTTTACACAGTTTAAAATGTTTATCTAGTTAATATGGTTAGACCATTAAGAGTCAATGCAACTTTTGATATAAATGGAATACAATTTATCATACTGCTAATGTTTTCTACTTGTTACCTCTGTTCTTTATTTCCTCATTATTGCCCTTTTCTAGAATATTTTTTTTAATTATTATTATACTTTAAGTTTTAGGGTATATGTGCACAATGTGCAGGTTAGTTACATATGTATACATGTGCCATGCTGGTGTGCTGCACCCATTAACTCGTCATTTAGCATTAGGTATATCTCCTAATACTATCCCTCCCCCTACCCCACAACAGTTCCCAGAGTGTGATGTTCCCCTTCCTGTGTCCATGTGTTCTCATTGTTCAATTCCCACCTATGAGTGAGAACATGCAGTGTTTGGTTTTCTGTTCTTGCGATAGTTTACTGAGAATGATGATTTCCAATTTCATCCATGTCCCTACAAAGGACATGAACTCATCATTTTTTATGGCTGCATAGTATTCCATGGTGTATATGTGCCACATTTTCTTAATCCAGTCTATCATTGTTGGACATTTCGGTTGTTTCCAAGTCTTTGCTATTTTGAATAGTGCTGCAATAAACATACGTGTGCATGTGTCTTTATAGCAGCATGATTTATAGTCCTTTGGTTATATACCCAGTAATGGGATGGCTGGGTCAAATGGTATTTCTAGTTCTAGATCCCTGAGGAATCACCACACTGACTTCCACAATGGTTGAACTAGTTTACAGTCCCACCAACAGTGTAAAAGTGTTCCTATTTCTCCACATCCTCTCCAGCACCTGTTGCTTCCTGACTTTTTAATGATTGCCATTCTAACTGGTGTGAAATGGTATCTCATTGTGGTTTTCAATAATACCTTTTTAAATATCCACTGCTGATTTAACATTTAGAGTTTTTTAATATTTTTAGTAGTTGCAGCAGGGTTTATATATACATCTTTTATTAAACAAAGTCTATCTAAATAATACTGTACAACTTTACATATAGTAGAAAGCAAGAAAGTTAAAATTTTACTGTGCTCATGTTAGATAGAAATAGACCCCTACTTGGATTAGCTTCTCCTGGCCAGAGATAAGAAAACATAAATGTCAATAATAATAATAATGGTGATAGACTAAAATAAACACAAATATGTTTAAATCATTGAGGTCAAATAGATAATTTAAAATAGAAAGTAACATCATTGGTCACTTTTGGAGAATGCTAGTGAACATTCTTAATATTTTGAAAATAATTGAATAAAGACTAAAATCCCCAAATTAAAACCCAATTCACACTTATTAAAACCCATTTTCTTAAACACCTGTTGTAATAACACTGATGAAAATCAGTAAACAGAATATCAATTTAAAATAATTTGCTTCTCCATTTCCTTTTGAGGTTTTTAAAAACAATAGTATGAGGTTGATGATAGCCATCCGTATGCTTTTATTGCTCTGATTTTGAAACTCTGACTATATGGAATACACTATATATATGTTTATAATAGAAACATGTTGGATCCCAAGATGTATCCACTATTATTAATGCTTAGTATACTTATATAAAATGCCATCTTAAATTTACTAATATGACCTACAAATATGAATGATTTGTGAATATGATGAACTATATCTCTGTAAACTATTTTCTTCACTCTCTGTGGTTCTTTCAACAAAGGCTGCTCCTGAGAAGTTGCATTAGAATATATCATTGATATTAAAGAACTATTGTGAATGAATCAATTGCGAAGAGCTACTAAGTGATAGTCTCATTTCCATAGAAATGGCCTCATTATGACTAAATACTGAAAATGTATGAGGACAGTATTGTTTAGAATAAGTCTTGCAGCACTTTCCTTTCTACTAACTCATATAAATATTTTCTTTTATGTTTTAAATTAAATGATTTGAATTCATCATGCATACGAGGAGACATTCTCAGATTTTCACTCTTAACTGTTAGTTCTATTATTTGTGTAAGTTTACTTAGGCCTATAATAACAATAAACTGAGATGAGATATATATTTTTGCATATTTATACAAAATACGCTTCTTTTCAAAGTTGCAAGCAATGTCTACCTTTTCTTTCTTCTTTTGAAATAACATATAAAAATGCAAGATGATGAGCTTTACGTAAATAGATTGTTATGAAAATAAGCACCTACTCTTTTCTCCATTCTTTGACCAATTCCTTAAGCCTAGTAACTTCTGTCAACCCAAGCACTCACAATTACAGAAACACATACACATAGTATGTAAGAGTATCTGCAGTTGTACATCAACTTACATAGTAATTACTACTCACATCTCTTGCTATCTCTGCTTCATGTTTTTATAAAAAAATGATTTTTCAGTTTGCTTAATGGTACAGAACAATCATTAATTCATCATGCCTACAATTTAAAAAAACTGATAATTTTTTACTTTCAGAACGTGCTTATTACCTCTAACGCACTCAACGTCAAATGTAAATATTGGGAAAGTCATTGTTAATACATAAGTAGGAAATAAAGAATATCTGCACATAGACAAAGTCTTTGTCCAGTAATTTTCTTTGCTTGAGACCTACTATATCCATATATTTTACTAATACTTTATATGTATGAAATCAATCCTCAGAATAAAATTCTAAGAGAGTACTCAATGAACTTGCTCAAAGTTCCACAGCAAGCAAATTTAAAACAGTAGGCTTGGCTTCAGGGTTTAGTTTTTGCAACTGGAGAGTGGTCTATAATAACTTTATTTACTATAATACAAATAAAAAATCATAACGAAAAGAAAGCATATATTCTAAGATAGCAAATTATTGACCACATGTGACTTGCCAATGTAAGATGTTTGTTTTCTAATGCCACAAAAAAGAGTTTTAAAAGGCACTATAATTGGGTATTGTCATTTTCTAGAATACAATTATAGCATAAACATTTTGTCTCACTGAATATTGTTTCAATCTTTTATGCTAAATGCCTGCACCTGCAAGAAACTGAATTCTCTAGACAATAAAATTAGGAAAAAGTCTATCTGATAAAGCTCATAGAAAATTGTAATAAGAGAGTTTCTCAGATTAGAATTGATATCCTTCTTTTCTTTTATTTCACACATAATTCTAACAAATACGTTCATCAGATTTTCTAGCTTACGTCCAATTAGAAATAATAATAAGACAATAAAGGCATTGTTTATTCTCAAGTGATCAGTTTGTAACTGCTACTGACAGCATATAAAAGTCAATATATGTACAGCATACATAGAAGCAGTTTTTATTAACCTCATTAAAAAATGTTCAGGTGAGTTGCTATCAAAAAAGGAATGACAAGGATCAAAGTACAAACTATGATGGAGGAAACTATTTTAACTTTTTTGAAGTAAAAATTAGTTTTATTTTCAAGCAGCTATTATGCATAACAAGAGTAATTTTTCACTTTAAAGACCTCAAAGATGAGGCTTTACATACTTCTCAGCTGAAAGCAAAATATTCTATGTTGAAATAGTCTATTTTATTTTTTCTAAGCTGAAAGAAAAATATTCCTTATGTTTAAATATTTAGTCTATTTCATTTTTTCTGCCATAACTTATCTCATCTAGCTTTATTATGTGGAAACATTTGTGTTATAGCTATATCCATAGTAAAAACAAACAGAACAATGTCTACTTTCCACCAAAACTAAACTTACCATTATAAAACTATAATTCTATATTTTTTCATTGCTGAGTGCACTACATGACACATATTAAGAATTCAGTAAGTGCAGCTATTATCATGATTTTAATAATAATTTTAATAATTTTATTAAAATTTTAATAATTATTATGTTATTATTAATGGTAAGTCATGGGGGAGTGCCAAAAATGAGATACGGGTAAGCCATATTCTGGATTTATACAGAACACTGCTTTTCAACTAAAAAGTGAAACTTACTAAAGAATGCCTTGGAAATCTTATATTAAAACTAAACCATCCCTTCAATAGAAACTTCAGGTAAGTCATCTTTAGGCCTATGACCAGTCCTCAAATGTGTAACTTCACAAATAATTAGCTTTGCAACTGGCATATTGAAAAAAGAAGAAAAGATCATGTACTTATGTATACCATGTAAAGCTTGGCAAGGGAATGCATGTGTCAAGATAAATCACATAGAACTTACCAGGGACTGAATCAAAACAGGCTGAAAAGGGTATTTCTTTCTAATGCAACAAGAAGTCTGACAGAAGTCCCTTTGTGATACCTGAAAAGAAGATTGTAATCATCTCTTATTTCTTCCAAGCTGCCTTTCCCTGACAATAAGGCAGAAGACAGGACTAAGGCCCTGATTGTGATTAAGTGTGAGGCCCTCAGGCTGCAGGTCTCTGTCAGGTTTGCTGTCCAGCTCTTACAATCTCTCTTCAAACTGCTCACATTCCTAATACTTCTTGGGATCACAGAGCTGTGAGGGTGATATATTATCTTTTAAGACTTAACAAAATACCACCGTGTAATTAAGTCAAATAGCAGTCTTAAGGTAAACTTTGCATTAATTCCATGAATATTTGGAAACAATATGTAAAAACAATCTAGAAAATTACTTGTAAGTATTTAACCTGATATATATTTAACAAGTAGGAGTTTTTGAAACTAATGGGCTGTCTAATTTTAGAATTCACAATTCTGATATTTGGAAGGAGCCATGCCTAACATTCTATTTGTAATTACTACCTTGGAACTAAGAAAAAAAAAAAGAAAGAAAAAAGAAAGTTGTTAGTTTGCTGAACTAGTAAGGTTGTTAAAGGTATAAACCCTGGAACAAAATATCTTTGGTTTGAAATTCAAGATTTTCCATATAATAAATACCATTTAAGTTCTCTGTGGCCATAGCCTCATCTATATTCTGGGGATGATCATAGTCTCTACATCAAAGGATTGTTATGAAGGCTAAATAAACTAAGTTCTGTACAGCACTTAGAACAGCATCCAGCATGTAGTAAGCTCTGTGGAAGTATTTGGCTTTTCATGTATTTCTTACCTTATAAAAATAGAACCAAGGTCATAATGAGACATAGAGTTAATTAAGTATAATTTGACTCAGAATATATTAAACATAAGTATAGCTAGGTAATGATAAAACTGAAAAAAATTGATTTATTAAATTTGTTTACTTAGAGAACTAGAGAATTAATTGGACAATTAGTAATCAGACTTTTACTCTTTTTGTTGTATTTTATGAGGCTCTAGGTCGATACAATATAAGCTCCCATAGTAGAGTAACTATACACCAAACCTATTTCTTCAGTTCTTGTTCATCCTTGGCACACAGCTACATTTCTCAGGCTCCTTTGTAACTATCAGGAGATAGGTAACTGAGTCATAGCCACAAATTTTGAATGAAAATGGAGCACATTATTTCCAGCCTCGGTCTTGAATTATCTCCCACTTACAATCCTTTATCCCCTTTCCCCTTCCACTGGCTTATTACCCATAAAATGAGATTTTTGGAAGTCATATGTTGAAGATGATGAGACTACCAGATGGTGGTGGCCTTTATCTCAGAATTACAAATTCTAACAGGAGAGCCACCTACGAACAAAGACAACTAAATAATACATTTTTTAGATGACCAGGAGTTAAAACTCTATCCTAGCTTGCTATTTTTTTTTGTTAGAGATTAAGGAATTACTTTAAGTAATATTTCTCTGCTCCAGCTTCTGTTGTCAGTGACAGAGGTTGGTGAAACATACACTTTTTCTCTGAATGATGATAGTTTTGTTTACCATTAAGGTTCAAAATTTTCATGTCCCCTATCTTCCCACCTTTGTGCACAATCACCACCAATGACAAATTAAGGCTGCTGAATCTTAAAGAAGCCCCAGTACCCAATCTTTGTCTTCTACAGACGAAGTTTCAAGAGCATTTAAGGCATACTTTCTTTTGTCATCTCTAGTTTAATGGAAACTTTTGAGATTTAAATTTTCTAAGAGACCACTTTTTTATGGTCTCTTAGAAGGAAACAAAACACATCTGAAGTTCTTAGGCTGAATTCAGCTTTTATAGTTTTAAGATTCATGCTCATCATATTTAAATAAAACATTAGTTTGCAATAATGAGTCAGTGTGTAACCTACCTTAATTAACTACTTGAAGGAAGTAATAAAGTAGTAATTTAGTCTACTCAGTTTCACAGGATAAATTGAAATCACTGAGTCATTTTCTCTCGTTTTTTAAAAAAGAGATTATAGATAATTGGCGTGTGTGTTTTCTATTTGAAATTATTACTCATGATATAATTGTTTTTAAAAGTACTGTATCTGTGTACTTGTATGTACATTTTTTTTGAATAAAATGCCTTAGATATCATCTTGCAGAATTCGGTAGAATATTAAATTAAACATAAGCAGAGGCTGGGCACGGTGGCTCATGCCTATAATCCCAGCACTTTGGGAGGCAGAGGCGGACCAACCACCTGAGGTCAGGAGTTCGAGACCAGCCTGGCCATCGTGGTGAAATCTTGTCTCTACAAAAAATATAAACATAATCCAGGCATGGTGGCGGGCGCCTGTAGTCCCAGCTACTTGGGAGTCTGAGGCAGGAGAATCGCTTGAACATGGGAAGCGGAGGTCGCAGTGAGCCGAGATTGCGCCACTGCACTCCAGCCTGGGTGACGAGAGTGAAACTCCATCTCAAACAAACAAACAAACAATAAAAAAAACAAAATAAGCAGAAAGTGATCAAATTATAGTGCCAACATAATGGCTTTTACTTTATAAAAGAGCAAGACAGAAATGTGACTGAGACATTTCTATGATGGACATAAATACTTGCTTTGAAAATGTACTAAAATCTTCTCAATTTTTCTAACTTCTAGCTCTACATTCTAGCAGAAAAAGAAACAGGAGGGCAATAACAGTGGTCTAAGTGTCTTCTTGTCTTCCCCAGTCATTTTATTTGATAAAAAGCAAAGACTAAAATAGAAAAAAGTATGTAAAAGAGGACAGTGTCATTTTATGGAATCTTTAATGCTGTCTTAAAATGTTTTAATTTTCCACTGATATTAAGCATGCACACAAATGTATACATATATTATTTTTTAAATGATAAAAGTATAAATTAGATACTGCTAATATCTAGGAAGCACAGATGCCTGTTATTTATTTCTTCTCAGCTCCAAATTTACTCTTTTATACTTCTTTGTGAAAAGTAACCCAATTTTAATTCCTTAGATTTTAATTCAAGTAGAAAAGTATACAAATTTATAAGTAATAATTGGCCTGTGGAAGGAATTCTAAATACACATTAAATTCTTTTGGCATTGGAAGTCATTGTTGAGAGTGCAAGATACCAGTGATAAAATGGTTGCAAAGGTAAAAGAACAAGATACAGTTTATACAAATGTATAGAAATTGCAACTTCATCTATCTATCTGTCTATCTATCTATCATCTATGTATCTTTCCATATCTACCTATATGTCTTTGTATCTATCTCTATACCTCTTGTAGTAATATAGCAGAGTCAGTTCAGCTTATCTTCAAGTTTGCTAGAGGATTTCAGGCATATTTTCTTTTTCTAGTAAATCATGATATTAATCTTAAATTATGTAACATTCAATGGTTTGCATTCCCTGCAAATTATACTAAATTGTTGTTTATCAACATAGAATATTTTCTAATTGTAAATCTGTTCGTAGGCAGACAGATCAGAGAGAATACAACTAAATAAAACAAGAAGTAGTGCTATCACATCTTAATAAATAGAATAACATTTTATACAATGGGTGATAAACAGAATTTCTTCTTCATGTCATGGCAATTTAGACTTGTTTTAGCTAAACAGAATTTCTTCCTCATGTCATGGCAATTTAGACTTGTTTTAGCATTTTAAAACATTATAAAGTAGAATCTAAGAATTAATAAATAAAATATCAGGTAGCAATATATAACGTAAAGCTTTAATAAAACTTTAAAAAATATCCATTCCAGGGGGAAATTAATTTTTAGTCTATTAGTAATATTCCAATGCCTCAGAGATGTAGCCAATAGTCTCTGTTTTATTTGTTATTTAAACAAAGCTGTTTGAGGACATAGAATTAACTTTCCCTTGAATAGGAACAGTGTAACTAGAGACATCTGTGGAAAAAATTCACAAACTATCATACTGTTTTAAATTTACTTGGCTTCCCACATTTGGCTAATGACTTTCATGCTTCAAAATTTATGTGTGCATGTGCATATGTGGGCCACGAAATTAATTCATGACTCATATTTCTATTAAGAAAGAGGGGTATCATTTGGTTAAAAACAGTAGTTGCTAATTGCAGAAAAGTATTTACTAAAGTCTTATCCATAAAGATGGTTCCACAACATCGTTGCATGTCATTATGTCATATTGACTGCCCACTGAAATATTTTCCAAAAGTTAATAGTTAAGATTTGAAAAAACTCTCTTCCATACTTTTATAATTTTTAGGCCCATCCCTTTGGTTAGTCAAACAACATTTTCTAATATATGTCATAGTGTAGAATTTGTTCCATATTTATCTTTCTAGTTTTACATTTGGAAAATATTATTCATTATTGCTTATTTTTATGAAATATTTGCTATGTTTATAGAGTAAATAATATAACTAACATCACATATTTATTTTGTATACATTTCCTGAATGCCTGCTGTTTGGGGGTGGGGGGGCATCAAGTTAGGCACCAAATAGAAATAATGAGAAAAAGACATTCGTTTTTTCCTTCAATGAACTTATATATTCTGAAATTAATAACAAATACCATGATTTTTTGAATCTTTTTATGAAATGGTCTTTTTGGTAACACAGATATTCAGAGACAAAGTAAAAGGCAGAAATATTCAGAAATGTCAGAAAAACGACTCTCTTTTCCTCAGATAAGGATGTGCTTTTGCTGATGCTGAATTTTGCCCAAGTACAAGTTAAATGTTAAAGATTTCCTTATAATGATGTTTGTTTGTTAATACATGTCTTTTGTGAATGCAGATGGAAGTTTGAGAACTAAAGGAAATAGCATAGGAAGACTTTATTAGCTTTGCCAAGAGTATCTTTGTTTAGAGTATCTTTAGATGTTCTTTAATTACCGAAAATCCCACAGGAGATTTGGAAGAAAGAGAAATGCCACAAAAGATACACTATCACTGGATCTGCAATGTGAGCTCTTCTTTTACAATTAGTTTCTCTATCTTTATTAAATAAACCAGTGACTTATATTAGGGATATGTGTATTTTCTCTTTTCTCAAACCCATAACCTAAAGGAGTCAGGTTAGGAGCATAAATCATACATGGATAAAAACAGGCAAACTATACAGAATATATTGTATATCATACCCAAAAATAGGTTGTTCTAAAACTAAAAGGAAATGAAAAATGCTTGAATAAAATTTTAGTAGCTAGCTGATATGGTTTGGCTCTGTGTCCCCACCCAAATCTCACTTTGAATTATAATAATTCAGGGTGGGACCAAGTGGAGATAATTGAATCAGGTAGGCAGTTTCTCCCATACTGTTCTCATGATAGTGAGTTTTTTCTCACAAGACTTGGTGGTCTTATAAGGGGCCTCCCCCTTCACTAGGCACTCATTTTCTCTTCTGCTGCCATATGAAGAGGTGCCTTCCATGGCAATTGTAAGTTTCCTGAGGCTTCTCCAGCCATGCAGATCTGTGAGTCAATTAAAGCTCTTTCCTTTATAAATTACCCAGTCTTGTGTATTTCTGCATAGCAGCATGAGAACGAACTAATTCACTAGCTCTTCTGTGGTAACAAAGAACCCTAATATTTCAGTGGCTCACAAGAACAGACATTGTTTTTGCACACATTATATGTTAGTGGCCGTGGATCAACTAATATCTTTTTACTTTATGAGTTTTATCATCCTGGGACCCAGGATGAAGTAACATACCCTATTTAAGACATGACTTTTAGTAACAGAGGGAAAGAGAACAAAAGCCAACCATATAGTAGCTCTTAAAGTATTTGTTGGGACATGGCTTACATCAGTTCTGCTTAGCAGATGGCTAAACCCAGGGAAAATGAGGTGAAAGTATACACTCCCACAAAATTATCTCTGAAAGTCACAGGGTTACATGCAAGAATGTACAGTCCTTTTACAAAGAAGAGGAAAGCAAACAATTGAGTTCAATACTACTACACTGTAACATGATTAGGATTAAGAAAGTTTGAATAAACAGAGTTATTGTTGAGCTCAGGTAACCAAAGAGACTAGGTGGGATTGTAAGAAAGAAATGGAATGTCAGATATTTTGTTCTGGAAGAGGAAAATCTAGAAGTAACAACTAGTGATAGAAAAAGGGAGAGTATATGCTAAGAATAATCAGATAGGATTAGTATTGCTGAAACTGTTCAAGTGTACATTGTAATTATGATCAATATACTGAGGTTTCATTAAAACATTCCAAAATTCAATTTATTCTGATTTTTGAGCCATGCTAAAATCACATTTTGATTAGAACACTACTTCTTCTGAATCTTCCAAATATACTTTTGATTCACTCAAAGTTTGTGATTTTTAAATAAATTATGAAATACAAAACTTGCCAAAACCAGGATGTAGGATATTACAGATGACAGGGGCCAGGGTATCCATCACAATGACCTCAGGTTTCCACAGGAAACACGGCCTGAGAAACGTTACCTATTAATTTTCCAACTTTTTTGCATAGGATGAAGGTAATATATCTATCTGATTAATGTTACAGAAAAAAATGTTCAGAAAAAGTACAAGTCCTTCTGGGTTCTCTTTTATTTTTTAGTTCAGTCTGCCAATAGAGAGGGCTCATTCTGTCCTCCTCTCTGCAATGAAATTAAAGACCTGCACCTGGGAGGGATTTCATACTTATATAATTGCCCATAAAACGTAGTGGATGAATCTGTTTAAATCAGAGAATACTAGCAAACTCTTTGTCTGAAAATCTGTAGCAACATCCTCCGATTAGCTATTTACGACTAATGCTAATGTTTTTATCTCCAGTTGTCTGACTCTTCTATAGATAACCTTGTGACTAACAAGACTACAACCCTCAGGAAAAGCAGTAATTCTGAGCCTCATAGAGGTGCCCAGTATTAGTAAGTAACATGTTCCCATATATTCTAGTCTATCCCAGGAACTTGAGATGCAGCAATAAAAAGATCGTAAAAGTCACTTGTCTTATAAAAGTATTCTTCATTGGAAGAAAACTAATATAAACAAATTAAGAGATTAAAATGATATAAATTAATAAAAATTGCTATGAAGAAATAAAAACTAAATATGAGAAAGACTTAGGGAAGAGCTCTTTAGATAGGATGGTAGGGCAATATGTCCCTGCATGGACACATTTGCAGTAGAAATCACGTTGCTTGCGTGGATTCAGAAGGTCAAGGGAAGAGATTTTTGGGGTCCACTAAAAATGTTCTAAAATCTTAATAAGATGCATGGCATGTGTACAAGCCATCAGGTGCATTTTTCACCGGGAGGAAGGATTGGGATTCACTAACTTCTGATTTTGAACACTCAGTATGACAATCTAGATCTAATGCTTAACAGGTGGCCAAATTTAGGCTACCTGCCAATTCAACCAATAAATGAAAACCTACACAGGCAAACGTTTATTCTCATATATAAGTTTGTAAATCTATCTAATAGCAGAATATTAGATATTCCCTTCTCTCCCTTATATTTCTGGGGGAAATATCTAAGGCAAAGTCTGATATGCACATACTTGGGACACCTCTAAGCTTGCATGCTGCATCTATCACCGAATGCCTGTCTGAACTTGGTCAAATTACAAAACCTTCTGTATTCCAGTCATCTTATCGGTAAAATGAAGATTGTAATATTCTCATAGGATTGCTCAGAATATTAAATAAAAGAAATAAATTACTCACCATAGCATATGCTATAGCAGCAAATAATAACTGTTATTATCCACATCTACAATTATTATATACTTACACATTAAATTAAATTACTAATCCTTTGTTAAATTCTCATGAAACAAAAAGGACTTTTAACTAGTTTCTATACTTAGTTTTCCTATAAATCTCAATTTTTAACTCTTTGAAAAATATCTTAATTATGATTAGTAAATTGAAGTGTGAAATTTAATGAAATCATCATGCCACACTAAGAAGTAGAACTTAATCACACTGAGTAACACTTTTGTTTACCACTTGTTCTTTCTGATGATCTAACTGGTCTGATGATGAGACTCTCCTGTAGCGATCCTCAAACAAACAGATCACCAGGCTTCTAAATTGGAATACACTGAGGAAGGTTCCTTGAATTTCTCTTTTTAGCAGGCCCAAAGTGACTATTTTAACAAATTTGTGATACTATGACATAAACCTATTCAAGGTGTATTAATATAATATGTAATTAATTAATATATAATTTATTCAAGGTTATATAATCAGAACAATAAGAAATATTGTAGCAAACATATATCTCATACTTTTTGCCACACATATTAGAGTGCTCAAAAATATCTGGGGTGCCCTGTTCCGTGAGACAATTGCTCATCTATGTCCTGGACAATTCAGGCACAACCTTTTGATTTGCTTTGCCCAACAGAATAGGTGTTGAAATGATATTTAAAGGTTTCATAAAGTTTACTTGTTTGAATCAGAATTCAAACAAAGTACATTCATGGTATACCATGTGTATCAGTCAGTTCTTGCACTACTATAAAGACATACCTGAGACTGGGTAATTTATAAAGAAAGAGGTTTAATTGGTTTACAGTTCTGTGGGCTCTATAGAATTCTGCTTTTGGGGAAGCCTCAAGAAACTTACAATCATGGTGGAAGGGTGAAAGGAAAGGAGGCACATTTTCACATGGCTGGCAGGAGAGAGAAAGAGCAAAGTGGGGGATGTCACATACTTTCAAACAACCAGATCCCATTAGAACTCTTATCAACAGTCAGGACTAGGGGGATAGTGCTAAATCATTAGAAAGCACTCTCAGGATCCAATCACCTCTTGCCAGGCCCCACCTCCAACACTGGGGATTACAATTCAATATCAGATTTGGGTGGGGACACAGAGCCGAACCATATCACCATGTTCTCTTTCCTTCTGTCAAAGAGGCAACATTGATTCAAAGAAAGTTGCTCACCTAGCCTGTATTTTGGAGTAATAACTAAGTGGAGAAGAGTCCCCAGAGTATCTGAGATTGATCAGTAGAGTGAGTGAAATGAACATTTTTGCTGTGGAAAGCCAATGTGTAACATTTGGCACCACAGCATAAATTACTCTATCCTTACTGAAGTTGCATATAATTTAGATGAAAATATTATTTAATAATAATACTTCTCTAATTAAAAAATAATTTTCATAATTAATACATTTAAAATTCAGGTCACTGTGTCATGTAATATTTTTCTAAAACATTTTTTCTGTACTCCTTTTCTCCAGTTTCTCTCATCACATTCTGTCTTGAATATGCACTAATCCATCTTTCACCAACCCCATATAAACTCTTGCAAATATCCCCAAAGATTCTTCTAGACTCTTGCAAAGATCCCAAAAGGCATACATGTTGCTAAATCTAATAGCCAATTCGTCCCCTTTTATGGGTTTTATCTGCTATTTTTGACACAGTTGAATACTTCCTCCTACTTGTATAATCTCTTTTCGTACTTTTAGGACATCAACCTTTTTTTTTTTTTTTTGGTGTGTGTCTGTCTGTCTGTGTGTTTCTTGGCTCTCTGACTTATCCTTCTCGGTCTTCTTTGCTGGATTCTTTTCACCTTCCTAAACTCTCACCACTTGAATGCCCCAGGGCTCATGTAGGACTTCTTGGCTTCTATATTTATAATAGCTTGGTGACCCATTAGTCATATAGATAACTTGGTGGCCTTTAAAAATGAATGTGTCAATTCATGTAATTTCTTCATCCAAATTACACCAGTAGCTTCACATTTCACCCAGAATAAAAGCCAATGTCCTCATAAAGGCTTAGAAAGCCCTATTTTATCTGACTATACTGACTCTGTTTTTCCCTTCTACTCTCCCCCTTGTTCAATATGGCTATAGCCACACTGGCCCATTATTATTTTGCTAACATAAAAATCAAATATTTCTTCTGATGGGGACACTCTTCTCCTCTGTCATTCCACAGCTCCTTTTTATGTTACTTCATCTTCTTGTGGTTTTGTTTGTTTTTGTTTTTGATAATCTTATCTTTTCAGTGATGCTGTGCCTTACTGACATTTGCCATGTAGTAAAGGTAATTGGCCAAACAGCACCTCAGAATCAACCTGCTGGAACAATGCTCATCTGAGAAAACTCACAGAAAAAAAAAAAAAAGACTAGTAGCAATAGTCCTCTGTTTATAAACTATTCTAGAGAAACACTTCAAGACAATGTAAAACCAGAAAACAGAGTCTTTGAAAAGTACCTTGACATTTGAATGGTGAAGCTACGTGATTAGGGAGCAACAGTCTTTCCCCCAGTGGGATTAAAGAGCAGCATGATAAAGCAACTTCACATAAAAGAGCCTTTGTTTCTTATACATCCTGAAAAATCATTATTTATGCTTAGGAGTGCTAGTAGCTCCTTATTGGCCAGTTTTCTAGAACTTATGCCTTTTGGTTGCAGCCATATAATGGGACAGGTACCATCAAGATTCACTACACCAGTTTTCATAATTGCAGAACACTGTTTCTTTCCTAGCATACTGGGCAGCTGAGTTCTAAAGCCATTAGTTAACAAAAATGTATTGCCATACACACTGGGAAATATTTTATTTTCATAAAGATTTAATGAGCTTAAAACCCACCAACTTACTTAATATTGTGATAGTGCTTCACTTCCCAGTACTCACTAACATTTTTCCTGCTTTATTGTTCTCCAAAAGACTTACTTACTATCTGCCATATGATAGGTTTTAATTAATTGCTTATTGACTTTCTCCTCCACTATACTATAAGCTCCATTAAGTGAGCAATTTGAATCAGTTTTGTTCACCACTCTATCCCCAGAGCCGAGAATGGTGCCTGGCACTAGTAAGATATCAATACATTTTTGTTGAATGTAAGTAATTAAATAAAAATTAAATGAAAGTATAAAAAAGAAGGATTGAATGAATACTCCCAAAGATTTACCTTGGACTGTGCATTGGTGTGCATATAAAGCAAGTCATGCTGGGACATTGTCAGTACTAAATATCTCACTTGTGTTTGATTGAAGTGATACAGAGAAGAAGAGAAAATATCGATAATACTATTGACATAACAATTAAAGGGAATGGGAATAGTAGTAATTATAAAAGTTATGAAGTTGGTTTACTTCTTTCACCTGCATTAGAAATCATAAAGAAATAGAATGGCTTAGATTAGCCAACTATCAATTCAGGAAATGTTGTTAATACCAGAAGGCTGCATAGTATCATTTAAAAAATTTGTTAATCTCTACAGTGAGAGATAAGATTGTATTACAAACCATGTCCAGAATTTGATCATTAAACGTGGAAGTTATAAAGAAGATCAAAGGCACAAACCTGAAAGGTCTTTTACATTAAACTAAGGACTTAAGAAAAGTAGGTCCAAGAAAATAGAATAAAGTCATTGGGTAGACTCCATAAACTTGTAATCTCAGCTATTTCTAGTGCCTATACTAGTAGAAGGCACCATTTGTATCTTATAAGATGTTAGCAGCCTCCAATTACCTGTAGAAGAATCACAGGTTTCAAGAGGTAGAAGCCCCACAGGATGATTTTATTTCCCTCAAGTTCCACTCATGTATACATTCACTCACTCTAATAAGTATGGTCAAGTCACAGTAGAATGTGAGAGAATATGTCCATTCCCTCTATAGAAGAAAATAACTTATTCAACCAAAGAGCTGTAGCATTTGTCTAATATTTATAATGAGAACAAGAATAACCATCAGAGAGTTGACATTGAGATTGACACACTGCGGAGGAAGAGAATATAAGCTGTATACTATCTGTATAATAAGGGAACTCTCCCTGAGACAGTGTGTATGGAACCTTGTAGCTTGCAAATGATAGTGGCTTAGAGGAAATAAGGAGAACATTTCAGAATTACCTTGACAAAGTTTTGAAAAAGGGATCTGGGGACTGTGAAAGGTAGATGTGTATATATTAGAATAGAGTATTTTATAATTTGAGTGTTGCCCAGAAACGCCACAGGAATATTTTAAGTAAAACATTAAGGTATGTTAATAACATGAAAGAACCTGGCATCATCAAGAAGTTCAGCAGTAGATATCTTATTTGGCAGGGTTGTGCATAGGACCACTTGCCATGGAACATTGAATACTGAAGATAGAAATCTGGAGGAGAAAAGGCAGTTGCAAACATTTAAACCTTAGGAAAAAAGTGATACGATTACAAAAGTTAGTAAGACCAAAGTTAAACCAGGAGACTTTGACATGGAGGAATCTATACTGATGGCTAATAGACTAAGATCTTTGAGAAAAAAAATACATTGGCAGGAAATGTTATTTTTCAATTTACATGACTAAACTACAGGCATATCTCTGAGCTATTGTGGGTTCCATTCCAGACCACTACAATAAAGCAAATATCACAACAAAGTGGGTCTACAAATATTTTGTTTTCCCTGTACATATGAAAGTTGTTTACATTATTTGGTAGCCTCTGAAGTATGTAATAACATTCTGTCTCAAAAAATGCATGTATCTTGATTTTAAAATGCTTTATTGCTAAAAATTGCTAAGGATCATCTGAGGCTGTTTACTGATCAGGGTGGCGGTTGCTGAAAGCTAGGGTGGCTGTGGCAATTTCTTAAGACAAGAGTGAAGTTTACAACATTGATGAACTCTTCCTTTCTAAAAAATTCCTCTGGCATATGCAATGCACTTTGACAGCATTTATCCACAGTAGAATTCTTTCAAAATTGGAGTCAAACATTTAAAAACCCATCCCTGCTTTACCAAACAAGTTTATAAATGGATACTTTAAATCCCTTGTTGTCATTTTAACAATGCTCAAAACACCTTCACCAGAAGTAGATTAGGTCTCAGGAAACCACTTTATTTGAAACCACTTTCATTCATAAAGAAAAACTCTCATCTGTCCATGTTTATCATGATATTGCAACCATTCAGTAACATCCATAGATTTCACTTCTAATTCTGTTGCTATTTCCACTACAGTTTGAGTTATTATTCCAATGAAATATTGAAACCTTCAAAGTCATCCATGAGGGTTAGAATCAGCTTCTTCCAAACTCCTGTTAAAGTTGATATTTTGACCTCCTACCATGAATCATGAATATTTTCAATGGCATCTAGAATGATAAATCTTTTTTCCAGAATGTTTTCAACTTACTTTGCCCAGGTCCATCAAGAAATTAATATCAATGGCAGGCATAGGCTTATGAAATGTATGTCTTAAATAATAGGACTTGCAGGTCAGAATTGCTCCTTAATCCTTGGGCTGTAAAGTGGCTGTTGTGTTAGCAAGTAGAAAACAACATTAATCTTGTGTTTAGCACAGCTCTTGGGTGACCAAGTGCATTTTCAATGACCAGCAATATTTTGAAAGGAATCTTTCCTTCTAAGCAGGAGTTCTCAACATTGGACTTAAAATATTTAGCAAACAATGCTGCAAACAAATGTGATATCATCCAGTTTTTGTTCTTCCATTTATAGAATACAGGCAAAGTAAATTCAGCATAATTCTTGAGGACCCTAGCATTTTCAGATTTGTAAATCAGCATTGGCTTCAACTTAAAATCATCAGCTGCATTAGCAGTTAACACGACAGTCAGCCTATACTTTGCAGTTTTGAAGCCAGCCATTTACTTATTCCTAGTTCATGAAAGTCCTAGATGGCATCTGCTTTCAATAAAAAGTTGTTTCAGCCAGGCATGGTGGCTCACGCCTGTAATCTCAGCACTTTGGGAGGCCGAGGCTGGTGGATCACCTGAGGTCAGGAGTTTGAGACCAGCCTGACCGATATGGTGAAACGCCATCTCTACTAAAAATACAAAAATTAGCCGGTTGTGGTGGTGGGCACCTGTAGTCCCAGCTACTTGGGAGGCTGAGATGAAAGAATTGCTTTACCTAGGAGGTGAAGTTTGCAGCAGTGAGCTGAGATCACACTCCAGCCTAGGTGACAGAGTGAGACTCTGTCTCAAAAAAAAAAAAAAGTTGTTTCATCTGAAAATCTGTTGTTTTATGCAGCCACCTTCTAATGATCTTAGCTAGATCTTCTGAATGACTTGCTTAATTTTCTACATCAGCACTTGCTGCTCCACCTTGAACTCTTATGTTACGTAGATGGCTTATTTTCTTAAATTTCATGAACCAACCTCTGCTAGTTGCAAACTTTTCTTCTACAACTTCATTACCTCTCTCATTCTTCATAGAATTGAAGAGAGGTTTGGCCTTTTTCTGGATTAGATTTTGGCTAAGGGAACGTTGTGCCTGGTTTCATCTCCTCTACAGTCCACTAAAACTTTCTCCATATTACCAATATGGGTGTTTTGCTCTCTGATTATTTGTGTATTCACTTGAATGGCACTTTTAATTTCCTTCAATAACTTTTTATTTGCTTTTGTACCTTGGCTAACAGTTTGGATGAAGAGGTCTGGCTTTTGGCCTATCTCATTTTTTAATATTCCTTTCTCACTAAGCTTCATCATTTCTACTTTTTGATTTAAACTGAAAGGCAACTTGTCCTCTCTTGAACACTTAGAGGCAATTGTAGGGTTATTAATTGGCCTAATATAAACACTATTGTGTCTCAGTGAATGGAAGGCCTGAATAGAGGGAGTGAGACAAGGGAGTACTGATCAATGGAGCATTCAGAACACACACATTTATTTATTACATTTGCCATCTTACATAGATGTGCTTCATACCACCTCAAAAGAATTAAAATAGTAACATCAAAGATTATTGATCATAGATCATTATAACAGATATAAGAATAATGAAAAAGTTTGAAATATTGTAAGAATTACCAAACAGTGACACAAAGGTATGAAGTGAACACATACTCTTGGAAAAATGGTGTCAATATACTTTTTGATGCAGGGTTGCTGCAAACTCTCAATTTAGAAAAAATGTGATATTTGTGAAGTGCAATAACATGAAATGCAATAAAGCAAGGTATGCCTGTATATCAAAAGCTGGTGAGCTGAAGGCTGATATCAACAACAAAAATGGAAAACCCCTTACTCAATTTCTACATATTAGCCATATTTTCAGATCCAGAAGCCAGTAAATGAAGAAAAAGTCCTTTAACTTATAAGAAGACTGAGCTCTTGGCAGTTAAAGATGGCTGACTAGTTGTAGCTAGTGTGCATCACTCTCACCGGGATAAAATGAAGTAGCAAGTGAATAGTAGCTCTTCAAGGGTATTGTCTAAGAGACCACATGTAATTGAATCATGGGTGTGGTTTCCCCCAAGCTAGTCTCCTGATAGTGAGTTCTCACAAGATCTGATGGTTTTATAAACGGGAGTTTCCCTGCACAAACTCTCTTGCCTGTCACTATGTAATATGTGACTTTGCTCCTCATTCACCTTCCACCATTATTGTGAGGCCTCCCTAGCCATGTGGAACTGTGAGTCAATTAAACCTCTTTCCCTTATAAATTACCCAGTCTCTGGTATGTCTTTATTAGCAGCATGAGAAGAGGCTAATACAGCAGTGAAAGGTCCCCAAGACAGTCACACTGCCCCTGCCTGAATATTTTACCTGCAACCTACAGCTTTTCTGAAAACTCAACCCCCACAGCCCTGTGATATTCCCTCAGGCTCCAAACACCTAAGGGTTCTGCGTGCTCTTGCCTGAGATTTTGGCTGGTGACATGGGGATGAGCACACCCCCCACCACAGCCAGCACTTGAACTCTAGGCTAGCCTAACCCTGGTTCAGCCCCTTTAGAACACATATATGCTGTCCAGTTAGTCATCTAGAGGTCTGGAAACTGGAGAAATATCTATCTCCTATTCTAACTCTGCTGACACCTGACCACTTCCTTCAGGGCCTGAGGTCAGCCCAACCCAACTAGCCAACACTACCATGACCAACACCCATTCACGCAGGCCCAATGGTGGAGCCCCCCATACAAGATGCAGCAGTACTGCCACATCAGAGAACAGGTGAGCCTCAAAGCTAACTGTATGAGGTTGAGTGGCAAGGTTATGCCCTGAAACCACTTCCAGAGAGAGTTGCAAAACCAGCATTCCCTGTGTAGATAGATTACAGAGTGTGTCTGAAATAGGAGTCATGAGACTTGGAACAAGGGTGATTATAAGGAAACAGGCCACATTCCTGTCTATCTAGGAAGAGGAGCTGGTGCAGCCCCCTAACTCTACCTCTCCCCACCACACACACTCACACACATACACGCACACACACATACACCTCAATGCACTTCATCAGGAGATTTGACCTGGTGCTTAAACTCAACATTGGGACATTCATGGTCAAGCCAGGGACTTCATCTTTGCCCAGCCGTGTCTCTCCATTCACATGGAAAAGGATGCTTAAGGAACCAGGTATGTCACTGTCCAGCCCTTCACCTGGAAAAACAGAGAGCACCTCGTAGTAAACAAATATTAGATCCATATCCACCTTCTTGTGCAGGAGCTGGCTTTTCTCTTCAAACACCATCTACTGGCCTATAGGTCAAACTGTGCAGCCCAGTACAAAGCCTGTGAATAGAAGCATATATAGCCATAGAATCAAATCCAGAAGACCTTTTCTGACACTACCTTCTCTAGGTGAGAGGAAACCAGCATAAGAATTTGGCCACCATAAAAAATTTCTTTGATGTTACCAAAGGCTCAGTCGAGATCTTCAGAATGTGCCACCTACCAAAAATGGAGGCACAACGATGACAAAGAATTCAAAATATAGATTACATGGGAGCTAAACAAGATTCAAGATAAGGTTAACAATCAACCATAAAAAACATTTAAAGCAATCCAGGAAATAAAGGAAAAGGTAAACTCTTAAAAAGAAATCAATCAGAGCTACTGGAATTGAAAAACTCACTCAAGGAATTTCAAAATACAATAAAAAGTTCCCTTTGTCAAAAGACTAAACCAAGCAGAAGAATTTCAGAGCTTAAAGGAGTGTTATTTAAACTAATCTAGTCTGACAAAAATAAAGAAACAATTTTTTTTTTAAAAAAAGAACAAAGTATCTGAGAAGTATGAGATTACAGAAAGTGACCAAACCTACAAATATTGACATTTTTGAGAGACAAGAAAAAAGCACAAATAACCTAGAAAACATATATGAGAAAATAATTCATTTATCCTGATCTTGCTAGACATGTAAACATTCAGATACAACAAATACAGAGAACATCTGCCAGATACTATACAAAATGAACATCACCAAGGCACATAGTCCTTTGATGGTCCCTAGACCATCTAAGGTCAACACCGAAGAATAAATCCAAAGCCAGCTACAAAAAAAGATCAAATCATATACAAAGGGAACCCAATCAGGCTAATTACAGACTTCTCGGCAGAAACCCTATAAGTCAGAAGAGTCTAGGGGTCTATTTTCAGCATTCTCAAAGAAAAGAAACCAACTAAGAATTTCACACCCCACAAACTAAGCTTTATACGTGAAGGAAAAATAAAATCTTTTTTAGGCAAGTGATCTTTAAGGGAATTCATGACCGGTAGACCAGTCTTACAAAAGATCCTTAAAGAAGTTCTAACCAGGAAACAAAAGAATGATATCTGCTACCGCAAAACCACACCTAAGTACAGAGTTTGCAAACTTTTTAAAGCAACTACATAATAGAAACTACCAAACAACCAGCAAAAAACTTTATAATAGGATCAAAACCTCATATATCAATATTAATCTCGAATGTAAACTATCTTAATGTCATACTTACAAGGAACAGAGCAGCAACTTGGATAAAAAACAAGACCCATTTATCTGTTGTCTTCATGGAACCAGCTTACAGATAAAGGCACCCACAGACTCAAGATAAAGGGTTGGGGAAAGCTCTATCCCACAAACAGAACACACAAAAAAGAGCAGATAACATACAGTTTAAACCAATGACTGTAATAAAGGACAAAGAAGGAAACTACATCGTGATAAAGGGTTCAATTCAAAAGATGAATTAACTATTCCAAATATTTATGCACCCAGTATCAGAGTACTCAGATTCATAAAACAAGTGCTTCTAGACCTATGGAAAACTTAGATAGCTACACAAAAATAGTGGGATACTTCAACACCACACTGACAGTGTTAGACACATAATTGGGGCAGAAAACTAACAAAGAAATTCTGATGTAATTTTGACACTTGATCAATTTGACCTAATAAATATCTACAGAACACTCCACCAATCAACAACGGAATATACACTCTTTTCATCTGCACACAGAACATATTCTAAGATTGACCACATACTCAGCCATAAAGGAAGTCTCAATAAATCAAAAAACGTTTTGGACCACAGTGGAATAAATAAAAATCAACATCAAGAAGATCCCTCAAAACCACACAATTACATGGAAATTTAAAAAAAAAAAAACTTGCTTCTGAATAACTTTTGAATAAACAAATAAATTGAAGCAAACATTTAAGAAATTTTTGAAATAAATGAAAACAGAGACACAACATAAAGTCTGAGATACAGCTAAGACAGTGTTAACAGTTTATAGTGCTAAATTTGTATATAAACAAGTTAGATCTCAAATTAAAAATTTAACACTGCATCTTAAGGAAATAGAAAAACAAGAACAGGCTAAGCCCAAAGCTAGCAGAAGAAAATAAATAAATAAAACCAGAGTACAACTGAACAAAATTGAAACCCAAACAACTGTAGAAAGAATCAACAACATGTAAACCTGGCTATTTGAAAGAATAAACAAGATTGATAGACTTCTAAGTAGGTTAACAAACAAAAAGAGAGAGAAGGTCTAAAATGAGTACAATTAGAAATGACAAAGTTGCCATTAAAACAAATTCCACAGAAATACAAAAGATCCCTAGGGACTATGATGAATGCTTCTATGAAGACAAACTAGAAAATCTAAAAGAAATGAATAAATTTCTAGAAATACACAACCTCCCAAGATTGATTTAGTAAGAAATCAAAACCCCAAACTGATCAACATTGAGTTTGAAAATTGAATCAATAATAAAAACTCTATGAACCAAAAAGTGTCCTGGACTAGAGAGATTCACAACCAAATTCTACCAGATGTATACAGATGGGCTGGTACCAATCCTACTGAAACTATTCCAAAATAATTGAAGAGGAGGGCCATGTCCCTAACTCATTCTATAAATCCAGCATCATTTTGATGCCAAAATCAGGCAAAGAAACAAGAAAACTATAGGCCAATCTCCCTGACGAACATAAACACAGAAATTCTCAAGAAAACAGTAACAAACTGAATCCAGTAGAATATCAAAAAGTTAGTTCACCACATATACAATTCAATAAATGTGATTCACCACATTAACATAATTAAAAACAAAAACAAACAAACAAACCATGGTCATCTCCAAAGACACAGAAAAAAGCTTTTGATAAAATCCAACATCCCTTCATGATTAAAACCCTCAACAAAGTAGGCATCAAGAAAGATTCCTCAAAATAATGAGTCATCTATGACTAACACACAGACATTACACTCACTGGGCAAAAGCTGAGAGCACGCCCCTTAAGAATTGGAACAAGACAAGGCTGCCCACTCCAACTGCTCCTATTCAACATAGTATTAGAAATGCTAACCAGAACAATCAAGAAGAAAAGAAATAAAAGGCATCTAAATAGGAGAAAAAGAAGTGAAATTATCTCTCTTTGCTAATGATATGGTTCTATACCTAGAAAAACTTAAAGATTTCACCAAAAGGCTCCTAGAGGTAATAAATGACTTCAGTAGTTTCAGGATACAAAATCAAAGCATGAAAATTAGTAGCATTTCTATGCACATATAATGTTCAAACTAAGAGCCAAATTGATAACGTGGCATTGTTTAAAATAGCTGCATAAAAATAAAATACCCTGTATACATCTAATCAAGGAGGTGAAAGATATCTATAAAAAGAAGTACAACACAATGCTGAAAGAAATCATAAATGACACAAATGGATAAAACATCTACTGCTCATGGATTAGAAGAATCAATATTGTCAAAATGGCCACACTGTCCAAAGCAATCTCCTGATTTAATGCGATTCCTATCAAGCTATATAAGTCATTTTTTCACAGAATTTGAAAAAAAAAACCTATTCTAAAATTCATAGAAGAACAAAATTATCCAAACAGCCTTAGCAATCTTAAGTAAAAAAAAAAGAAACAGCTGGAGGCTTACTTCAACCTACACTACAAGACTAAAGTAACTAAAACAGCATGGTATTGTGGCAAAAACAGACACATAGACTAATGGAACAGGTTTGAGAATCCAGGAATAAAACCACACACCTACAGTCAAAGATTTTCAACTAAGTCATCAATAACAAGCAATGAAAAAATGATTCCCTGTTCAATAAATGATGCTTGAATAACTGGCTAGCCATACGCAGAAGAATGAAACAGCATTCTTACATTTTACCGTATACAAAAATTAACTTAAAATGCATTAAAGACTTAAATGTTAGACCTTAAACTATAAAAATTCTAAAAGAAAACCTAGGAAATAGTATTTTGTACATCAGCCTTGGCAAAGAATATATGACTAAGTCTCCAAAAGCAATTGCAACAAAAACAAAAATTGGCAAGTGGGACTTACTTAAACTAAAAAAAGTTTCCGCACAGCAAAAGAAACCATCAGCAGAGTAAATAGATAACCTACACAGTGAAAGAAAATATTTGCAAGCTATGCACCCACAAAAGGTCTATCATCCAAATCTATAAGGAACTTAACAATACAACAAAGAAAAGAAAAAATCCATTAAAAAATGGACAATGGACATGAACAAACACTTCTCAAAAGAAGACATACCAGTGACCAACATATAAAAAGATGCTCATTTTTACTGATTATTAGAAAAATACAAATCAAAACCACAATGAGATAAAATTTTATAGCAGTCAGAATGGTTATTCTTAAGAAGACATAGCATAATAGATGTCAGCAAGTTCCAGAGAAAAGGGAACACTTACATACTGTCGGTGGGAATGTAAATTCGTTCAGCCACTGTGGAAAGCAGTTTGGAGATTTCTCAATGAACATAAAACAGAACTAACGTTTGGCCCAACAACCCCATTACTGGGTATATAGTCAAAGGAAAATAGATCATTATCCCAAAGAGACACATGTACTTGCATGTTCATCACCATGCTCTTTATAAGAGCAAAGACATAAAATCAACCTAGGTGACCATCAGTGGTGGATTGGATAAAAATGTGGTACATACACAGCATGGAATACTACACAGCCATAAAAAAGAATGAAATTATGTCCTTTACAGCAACATGGATAGAGCTGGAGGCCATAATCCTAAGCAAATAAATGCAGGAACAGAATGCCAAATACAGCATTTACTCGCTTGTAAATGGAAGCTAAACATTGAATACAAATGGACATAAAGATGGGAAGTAGTGATACTGGAAACTAATGGGGGGGGGAAGGTAGGAGAGGGATGAGGTTTATAAAACTATCTATTAGGTACTATGCTCACTACTTGGATGACAGGATCTTTCACATGCTAAACTTCAGTGACATACAACGTACCCATGTAACAAACCTGCATATGTACCCCCTGAATCTAAAATAAAAGTTGGTAACAAAAGACTCTGAAATTCTACTACAAGGATATATAAGAAATTTTTCTTACTAATTCCTCCAGTGGACCCACGGTATATTGCAGTAGTAATTCTAGACAGGGAGAAAGAAGATATCCTAATCATTTGGGAGCTGTTTGCATAGTCGGTGAGATTGTAATGATGCCAGTAATCTCCAAGTAGACATATATGAAAGCCATTCTAAATTTATTTTTTGTTCAAAAAATTTTACAGATAGTCCAATAGTAACAAAGTGACCATCCTGTATTCATTTTCCTGGTCTGGAAGGTATAATCAGGATGGTGCTACAGAACACTTATGGAGTTCTCTGGTACGTTAAGTAAAAACAACTTGGTAGTAAGGTCAAATGAAAATTTTGGAAGTGAACAAAATTACCCTTCTCCACCCTCCTTGAACTAAGTTTAAGAAGAAGAAATACTGCATACTAGCTAGGACTGTCATGATATTGGTACTCTCTAAAGGGTTGTTGTCCTCATTTTAGTCTGTTCATTTCACCAGTATGACCACTGCAAAAAGTGGATGGATAACGGAGAATGACAGTTCACGCCTGAAAATGTAATCAAGTGATAATTTCAATCATAGTTGCTGTGCTGATATAATGTCTGCACTGAAACATATTGACACAGCCTCTGGAACTTGGTATGTGAATATTGATCTGGTGAATACATTTTGTCAATCTCCATCAGGAAAGATGACCAAAATAGTTTGCACTCACTTGGGAAACAGAACAGTTCATATTCACTAAGTTATCCCAGTTAACATAAAAGTTATGTTAATTCTGCTCTCTATTACTATATAGTCCAAAGGGACCTTGATTGACTTGACATTCTGCAAACATTTGCAAATATCACACTGATCCACTGTATTGATGACATTGTGCTTATTTGACCTGGTTTATATAAAAGGCAGGCACTTTGGATCCTTGTAAGGAAAGTGAGTCGCAAAATCCGAAAGAAAAACCTGAGAAAGACTCAAGGGTCTACGGATTGATGGAATTTTTAGAAATTTATTGATCTACATTATGTCAGAATGTCTCCTCTAAGGTAAAGGCAAAATGTTGATGGAACTCTTTGAATTTTGTAGGTACCATATAGCACAATTTGAAATACAGCATATCACTCTTATAAATATCATTTTAAACCATTTATTTGATGTCTCTATAACCACCCAATGGGTTCAACTTGCCCACTGCCTAGAAAGAGCCGATTTATCAAGACAGGGGAATGGCAATAGAGAAAGAGTAATTCACACAGAGATGGTTGTGTGGAGACCAGAGTTTTATCATTACTCAAATTAGTCTCTCTGAGCATTTGGGGATCAGAGTTTTTAAAGATTATTTAATGGGGAAGGGCTTGGGAAGTGGGGAGTACTGATTGATAGGGTTAGAGGTGAAATCATAGGGGGTAAAAGTGAGTTTTTCTTGCTATTTTCTGTTCCTGGGTGGGAAGGCAGAACTGATTGAGCCAGGTTATCGGTCTGGATGGTGTCAGTTGATCCATGGAGTCCAGGGTCTGCAAAATATCTCAAGCACTGCTCTCAGGTTTTACAATAGTGATGTTATCCTCAGGAGCAATATGGGGAGGTTCAGACTTTTGGAGCCAGAGGCTGCATGACCCCTAAACTGTAATTGCTAATCTTGTAGTTAATTTGTTAGTCCTGCAAAGGCAGACTGGTCCCCAGGCAAGAAGGATGTATTTCGGGAAAGGGATATTACCAATTTTGTTTCAGAGTTTAAACTACACTAAATTCCTTCCCAAGGCTAGTTCGGCCTATGCCCAGGAATGAACAAAGATAGTTTAGAAGTTAGAAGGAAGATGGGGTCAGTTAGATCTGATTTCTTTTACTGTTATAATTTCTCAGTTATAATTTTGCAAAGGTGGTTTCATCTCAAAAGGATTGTAGTTTTGAGTGGTGCCCATAGAAGACAGGACTCTGTAGCAGTTTAAGATTCTTCCACAGATGTTTTGCCAGGCCAGGCTAATCTCATGATTCTAGATATAAATGTCTGTGGAGTGGATGACAAGTTCCTTGAGCAGCAGGGAACTATTAGAAAAAAATTTCCTGGCTGGCTATTTGACCCAAATAGAAACAGTAGTTAACCATGGCACATTATGTAACCATATAACAGAAATTAATTGTCATGAGTAGAATATTTTCAAATGAATCAGGTCAAAAGTTCAGGAGAAGTCCATTAGATAATGGCAATGGTTAATTCAGAACTTAGCATGAGCATGTCCAGCAGACTTAAGAAAATTATACAAACAGGTAATTCTGATGCCATGCCATCTACTCCCATTGCACTGGCACTTTTTTCAGCCCAAACCTATGAACTCATTGAGAATGTTCCTATGACATTCTGGTGAAAAGAGAATAAGAAAAATCAGTCCCAGTTTATGGATGATTCTGCTTGATATGATGCTGTGAGTTGACAATAAACTGTTGCCTCACTACAGTCCAACTCAAGAGTGGCCCAAAATAACAGTGGTAAATGATCAGAAATGTTAGTAATACACACAATTTTTTTTAATGTGAAGGAAACCGTGGTCTGATTTAGATGTATTCTTGAGAATTAGCCAATGGCTTGGATGTTTGTCAAAGATCTGGAGAAAATAAGATTAGATGATGGAAAAGAGGGAAGTCTAGGGGAAAAAGTATTGCATTAGTTTCCTATGTATGATTTTCTACTTTGGAGATTCAAAGTCTAAAATGAGTTTCACCTGTCTCAAATCAAGGGGTCAGCAGAACTGTATTATCTTTTGGAGGCTCATAGGGGAGAATTTTTTTTTTTGGCCTCTTCCATATTCTAGAAGCTGTCTGCATTTCTTGCCTTGAAGCCCCCTTCCATCTTCAAAATAAGCAATAGCTAGTGAAATACGTCTTATATTACATCACTCTGACACTCTCTCTCTTCTGTGTTTCTATTCCACTGTGTAAGAACCCTTGTGATTATACTGGGCCCACTTGGATATTCCACCATAATCCCCCCAGTCTCAATTCAGTTGATTAGCCAGCTTAATTTTATCTGCAAATGTATTTAGCCTTTTCTGCGTATATTATTCACAGGACAGGGGAGCCAGATTTTGGACCTCTTTGTGGGGTTTGCTGCTGATCACCCATGTAGATATTCTGGTGGAAGTGAGCACAAAGTGTTTAGATGCTGGGATCTAAGTCAATGTCCACAATAGTTGTATATTATATACTTTGTTCTTTGTAGGTCAGCAGCCGATGTCCTAAGTCTTCCAGTGTTTACATAATGTTTCCAGAAGTTCCTTAGCAGGTTTAAGCCTTATTTGCCTAGAGCAATACTTTTTGCTGTTTTTTTCTCTCTTCTCATTCCAACTTTCTTCACTCTTTTATATTAATTTTAAGAATTGTGTATACTGTAAATTATTCCATTATTTTCATATAATACAGTGATTAAGATATTAGGCTTGAGAGACAAAGAGATAATGGTTTGAATTTGGATTATACTTAATAATTCTGTAGCCTGTAATAATGTGTTTAAATATTCTGGTCATTAGTTATCTGTAAAACAAAATAAACAATACCTAAGTAGAGTGTTATTTGGAAATTAAGTGAATGTATTAAAATCTGAGAAAAATGCTTTATATAAAAATGGTTTTGTTAGATTGTAGCTATTATTAGTAGTACTTGTATTAGCTATTTTTTAAAACATAGAGGACCCATAAAAATAAGTAACTTAAACCAAAATATTCATAGCAAACATATTTTGCCTGTGTTCTATATTTGTCATATTTTATATATTTAAATTATACATTACTACCATAATCAGAAAAGAAGTCATTAAAAACCCTACATAATCAATTTTTCATAAAAATTTCTATGCTAACATTTGTTTAGTGATTCTCATAGTGTCTGTGGTTACTGAATTATAAGCTGCCATGAAAAAATTCACTGACAGTATATAATTGCTGTATAAATAATTATAGTGACCATGGGAAAACTCATATAGAGCACTGGGGTCAGAATTATAGATAATCCAAGCCAAGACTAGGGTTATTAGCATAATTAATAAATCTGGGTGAATAAAACAAAAATATTGATGTAGTTTATAAAATATGACCATGGTAAAATGTTGGAGGGGTATAGTTTTTAACATAACAAAGGGAATATAACTGTAGGGACAATGGACTGCCCTCATAGTTATATATTATGACATTTAACCCATGCATAAGACCTTTATTTTAACCAAAGATTCAATTACTAGGTGTAATACTGAGTGCTTTAAATATCAATCATGAAATGCTGTGTAAATGACTTGAGAGAACATAATTGTGTGAACGGGTTTTGCTAATAAGCCTTGTTCATCCACTGTGCCCTTGTAGGGCAAATCAGCCAAATTCGAGGTCACCAATTCAAGAATTAAGTTTTGAAGTGGAAGAAAAATTCAAGAATCATCAGTTAAATAAGAGGAATCAAGGGAGTAAAGCAGAGCTTAGTTACTTACTCACTAACCCCCACCATACAGCAAGTGTTCTGTCTCAGCGAAGATGTATATTACATTGTATATTACATATATTCACCTATGGGTATGTGTGACTTTGCCGAGACACCAGGCTTCCCTCACAGGTGGCATGTGTCTCACAATTATCTTATAGCTGAAAATATTTTTCAGAGTAGCTCTTATGATGAGTCAGAGATATCAATTGCTGCCTACATCATCAAGATCTTTAACTGGGGATATCACAGGTAGAAAAATACACATGAAAAAACTTGTGAGTAATTAAATATAGTAAATATAATAGAACTTTTCTTATTGCACCAAGAGATTAACTAAGGATGAATTTCCAAAGTTACTAAACTTGAGGAACAGCCATCTTATAAGGAAATGAAATAGAATTTCATTCCTTCATAATTCTGCATGGCAGGACATGAATTAATCTGTGTAGTGTAAACAATATTATACTTTCATAACAATGAATTAAGAATCAAAATTAATTTGTAAGTTTACATATTCTAAATAGTATAGAGTTTAAAAGCTAGCCAATCCACAAATATTTTAATGCAGTCTTGTTATCAGAGGTTCAGTTTTTCATTTCCCTTGCCCCTCCTTTCCCAAAAATTATTTTCTTGAAGATTTTATTTTTGTTTTCACAAAACATCTATAATGTGAAAATTTAGATTGAGTGAAACTCAAACAGTTGAATGATAGTATGTGTGCGTGGGTGTGTGCCTGTGTATGTGTGTGTTTATGTATCCTAAGATAATTTTCATGCTATAGGCACAAGATAGTCGATAGTATGAAATATATAGATTATTTCATACTATGAATGAAATATATAGACATATGGATATAGACATATATATATATATATCTCGATTGCTTCCAGTTCATAATGAAAACATATTTATATTTAGTCTTTTAAGTTTCATCCATAATTCTAATGATCATTTATACAGTCCAGATATACTTCCAGAGAAAAATTTTAGTCTAGTCCCTATTGCTCACTCCTATGGAGAATTCTCTTTCAATCTTTTTAAAGAAGATTTAAACTGTCTAATTGTCATTCACTATCTTTTGTACAATAAAATTAAAAGCATTATAACTAATATAATTAAAATTAAGCACAAATTTATTTAGATAACATTCAAGACCTTTCTGATTAAGAAATTGTGAATATCAGTATTATTTGGCCAGACTTTCTTCTCTCTTCATAATTAAAAGGAAAGTAAAAATTTGAATATCAAAGAATATTTCTTTTAAAATCACAATAATGTACATTTTTAGTATGACATTTTTAAAATGGAAGCTTTTGTACTTAATGACAAATGAATATTCCCTAAAAGAATATTTGTCACTTTCCAAAAATCCATTTGCTTATGGTGAGAACAATAATTCTAGAAAATTTTCCAAATAAACACAAAAATAAAAAAAAATACTTAATATTTAGGTAAAACATGAGAACAAACACTTTACAACAGCTCTTCACACTGAGGTAACGTATATTTTTCCTTGCCCCTTGAAAATTGGTTTTGTGACTTGCTTTGACTAATCAAATCTATTAGAAATGCTGTTGTCACTTCTGAGCAAGAATTCACAGGGCCTCACAGCTTCCTTGCCATCCTCTTAGATCCATGTCATTAGATCTAGATATTCCTGTTGGGAGAAAACATGGTAGAAAAGGGGTGCATTTTGCCAACAATCAACAAATTACTCACCTGTGAGATGCATTAATTAAAGTGAGACCATAGTGAACTATCCGGTTCCAATGAAGCTACGGAAGGCTGCAGCAATGTGAATATTGTAAAGGGAAACCACCAGAGGAAAACTATGGCTGAGCTCAGCCTGAAATATAGAATTCTAAGCATATTTAAGCACATATTTTTTTTTAAGCTTCTAAGTACAGGTGTAGAAAATACTATAAAATATTATATAATTTTTCTTAAATTAAAATTTTTTCTAATCTCTTTCTCTTCCCTCTTCTATTCCTCCCTTCCTAGGTGTCATACAGACAAACACACAATAGAGAGGCATAATCCTGGGTATGAACATTAGTCAATTTCAGTAACTACAAGTACTAATGTGAATAATCAGCATATAATCACACTCATATATTCTGAAATTATAAGTAAAATCACACTCATGGAGTGAGCACATTGAAATGTTAATATACTCTAGACTAGTGTTACAATTTATATTTTTAATTTGATAGTCCCTGAGAAGCGTCCTCTGTACCACTGGCTTCTCAATTTACCTTGAGTAAAGTCTTCATCTACAAAAAGCCCCATTTAAAAGGCAAACAATATCATCTGCAAATATATGAACATAATGGGAAAATATTCATAGAATAATTTATACAAACAAAACTTATGTTTATTTAGAAAGGTCATGTTTCAAAGCAGACAATCGTCATGCAGATGTCTTATTGTTAATCAGACTGAAATGAGACATTGAATGTGAAAGTAAACTATTTTTGCAATTTGACCTGAGGATAGCCTCAATTGTAATTATTAATTTGGGTACCATTTATTCCCCTTTCTAAAAACTAGGTGGATATAATACCTTTCCTCAAAGTAAGCAAAAAATAAATAAATAAATCAAGTACTTCCAAACAAATCAAATTCTTATATTTTAAATATATGTGCAGTAAATTAAAATACAACTTGTATTACAAATCTAAAAAATTAAAGTATTAAAAATTTTCATCAATTGATAAATACATTTATTGTTACAAAACTATACGATATTTGGAACTCTGTCTTAAAAATGCATTAGCCTATAACTTTATAAAATATTAACCAAAATAAAAATAAGATTAAGATATTAAATATTTATCTTAGTTACATTTTAGAAAGAATAAATTCAAATGAAATCTTTCATATCAATTTCTTCCCAGAAACAGATTTTTCATTTTTACAGCTTTAGGCTGAAGAAAAACTATAGTAACCAAGCAATAGGCAATAAAAAGCTAAAATATTTATATCTGCTTCTGTATTATGTGCCAATTTGCAGAAAATAATGCAGAAAATACACAGAAGTGTTTTCAATTCCATGCTTCTTATTCAATAAATATTTGCTGGAGTGGATTACCAATTTTTCTCAAAACTCTTATAATTTTCCCAAGAACCATCAAACTCAGTCATATAGACTCATATAGACAATGCTAAACAAATCATGTATGCACCAATGGTTTTTTTATAATTCTATATAGAATCATAGTTATTCATATTTAAGCTTGATGTCAATTTCTGTTATATTATTCTAAGCTTCTCCCAATTAATTTTTTGTATTTGCAGTTATAGAAAAATGCTTATAGTTCTAGAAGTTACGGAAAAAATGACAGCCACATATTTGGAGCAAAAGAGGGGTGCGATTAACAAGTGACTTTTAAATTTTAAAATCTAAACCTTATTACTAAGTAGTTTATGCTTATATTCTATGTAGATGTTAGTGTTTTTATGCTTTATGTATTAACCATATTTACTTAGTAAGAGATCATTTTTTAAAGAAATACCTTCATTAAATTTGAAATGAGTTGTGTCTAAATAGGAAAAAAAAATCAACATTAAGATTGGACATTCTTTTACTTTGTGCCCTATAAAAAGGCAATGACTTCTGAGACATCTAGGGTGGTTTCAATGCTTTATTTTGAGAAAGTATGGCCAAATCAAAGACACATTAACAGAAAACAATATTTGTATTCTGTATTTTCTCAAATTTTGATACATTTATTCATTCCATCAACTTTTACTGTTATTTGTGAGGTTCTAGAATAAGGAGATGAATGCAATAAATATGAGGGTGGGGCAAAGTGAATGAAATATTTTGTCTCTGTAGTTCTCTCATTTTGTCTCCTATCTAGCTATGTCTTCTGTAGCATCATTAGGACAAAATTTGCTGTGAATATAATTATGGTCAGTGTACAAAGAAGAAGAAAAGATTAGCCCTACATTTGAGGGGTGAGAGTTAGAGTAGAGTGGAAAGCATTGGAGAGATAAGAATCAAGAAGGAAATAAATAATTTACTTTTCAGAAAGCAAGGGCATGATGGAGGCTTAAAATTAATACAATATTCTAGAAATGGTGATTCATTGAGGGTGATAATAGCTTAGAATATGTTAATCTATATGTAGAGGAGCTGAGAGTAGGAATGTGAAAGAAAATTAATGAAATATCATATTACTGCATTATATAATATGAAAGATCCAGAACATGGAATAAGTATGTCTGCTTAAGGCATGGGAACAAAAAGAAAGTTCATGAAAATCTTCCCCAAATTAATTGAGTTTTCTAGAGCCCATGTACACCACTTAAGGGTATGAGTATTGGCTTGGACTTGCTACTGCCAATGTTGACACCACGTGTATCATTTGGATCCCAAGGACTGCCTGGCAGACCACTGCCTCTGCTGGCACCTGCCTAGAGGTATACCACCTAGAGGTGTAAAGATTGGCCAGCTCAAAGTTGCCATCAGCAGCAATCACGTATGCCACCCAGGGGCTGAAAGAGAAGCATGCCCAGTTCATTGCCATCATAATTTGTCGCCAAAGATGGGTTCAGCTGATGTCCCATTTCCAGCAAAACCTCACCACTGACTCCACTAATAACTATAGCTTAAGCTACTGAAGAACTCACAGAAACTACTGATGGTAATTATAGCCAGAGAAATTATGCAGAGACTACACCAGAATTAAAGGCAAAACATTCTACCCAGCAAACACTATGGATACATTACATCTTTCCGGAGAAAAAAACCTTTTCCTATGCAAGTTAATTCATAAAATTAAAAGAAATGACTGTTACACCAATGCCCAGATATAAATGTATGGACACAAGAAACATGAAAAAGCAAGAAAACATGACACTTCAAAAGAACACAATAACTATCCAGTAACAGACCCCCAAAAAGGAAATCTATAAAATGCCCACCAAAGAATTCAAAATAATGATTAAAGAAACACAGTGAGATATAAGAGAACACAGATAAACAATACAAATAAGTTAGAAAAAAATTAATGATCTGTATTAGAAATTCAACAAAAAATGGATATCATAAAAAAGAAACCAAAATTCTGAAATGGGAGAATTTCATGAGTAAAATAACAATATACTTAAGAGATTAAACAGTAAACTAAATTAGTCAGAGAAAAGAATTTTTAAATTTAAAGGCAGGTGTTAGAAGTAACAGAGTTAAACAAAAAAATGAAGGAGGAGGAAGAGGTGAAGAAGAAGAAGAAAAAGGAGGAGGAGGTAGAGGAGGAGGAGGAAGAGGAGGAGGAGGAGGAAAGGAGAAGGAAGAAGAATAAAAAGGAATTTTTAAAAAGCTTTGAATATATGAGACACCATAATGTGATTACACATTTGAATTTTTGGAGTTACAGAAGGAGAAGAAATTTTTTAAAAGACATAAATACCCTATTTAATAATAAAATAGGTGAAAACTTTTCAAATCTTGGAAAATACATATAAACATTCAGATAGAGGAAGATCAAATATCTCCAAATAGTTACAAGACAATATTGTCATCTCCAAGGCATTTTATAGTCAAACAATCAAAAGGGAAACAAAAAAATTTCTAAAAGAGGAGGAAAAAGTATTAAGTCATATATAAGGGAATTCTTAAGACTAACAGCAGATTTCTTGGCAAAAGCCTCACAGGTCAGAAAAGAATGGGATGATAGGGAGACTGAGGCGGGCAGATCACAAGGTCAAGAGATCAAGATCATCCTGGCCAACATGGTGAAACCCCATCTCTACTAAAAATACAAAATTTAGCTGGGCGTGGTGGTGCACGACTGTAGCTCCAGCTACTCAGGAGGCTGAGGCAGGAGAATCGCTTCCATCTGGGAGGCGGAGTTTGCAGTGAGCCAAGATTACACCACTGCACTCCAGCCTGGTGACAGAGCACGACACCATCTCAAAAAAAAAAAAAAAAAAAAAAAAAGAAAGAAAGAAAGAAAAAAAAGAATGGAATGATATATTTAAAATGCTGACCAAAAAAGTACTGCAGATTAAGAATACTATACTCCACAAAGGTATCTTTCAAAAATATAGGAGAAATACATTTTTTTTTTTTTTGAGACAGTCTTGCTCTTTCACCCAGGAGGCTGGAATGCAGTGGAGTGATCTCGGCTCACTGCAACCACCACCTCCCAGGTTCAAGTGATTGTCCTGCCTCAGCCTCGCAAGTAGCTGGGACTACAGGCTCCCGCTGCCATGCCCTGCTAATTTTTGTATTTTTAGTAGAGATGGGGTTTCACTATATTGGCCAAGTTGGTCTTGAACTCCTGACCTCAAGTGATCATTCTGCCTCAGCCTCCCCAAGTGCTGGGATTACAGGCATGAATCACCATGCCCTGCCGAAAAATACATGTTTTTTAAGACTAGCAAAAAAGGAGAGAGTTCATTATCACTAGACTGGCCCTAAAATAAATGCTTACAAGAATCATACATCTGAAAGCAAAGGAATGAAATCTACCTTCGTTGAAATCCACTAAATTATAAAACTCACTGACAGAGAATATACCTAAATTAGAAAGAAAATGGACTGACATGTTATCTTTACAAAAAAAAAAACAAACTGAAAAATAAAAGTAAACACTAAAAGAAGAAAGGAACGAGATAAACTACATAATCAGAATGCAATTAACAAAATGACAGTAGTAAGTCCTCATGTATTAATAACAACCTTGAGTTTACATAATTTGATATAGATATAGACTGGCTAAATGGATTAAAAGAGAAATCTAGCTGTATGTTGCTGACAAGACGTTTACTTTATGTGTAAAGACAGAAATAGACTGAAATGAAATGGATGAAAAGAAAATATTCCACACAAACAGAAAACAGAAGCATGTAGAATGTTTATACCTATATTAGACAAAACACTCTTTTGTCAAAAACATAAAAAGTGACGTAAGGGTCATTACATAATAAAAAATGGGCAAAATCACGAAGACATTATAACAATTGTAAACACACACATACACACAGTCAACATTGGAAGATGTGCGTGTGTGTGTGTGTATGTTTATATATATATATATATGTATGTGTGTGTATATCTATCTATATATATAGATATATATATATATATATATATAGCAAATATTATTAGAATTAAAGGGAGAGATAGACACTAATACATTAATAGTTGGGACTTTCTACACTACACTTTCAGCATTGGACAGATTATTTAGAGAGAAAATAAGCAAAGAACTGTGAGACTAAATTTGCACTGTAGATTAAATGGACCTAACAGAAATTTATTTACTAAACCTTTTATCAAACAGTAGCAGAATACACAGTCTTCTCATCAGCACATGCAAACATTCTCTGGGACAGACCATATATTAGGCCACAAAACAAGTTTAAATATTTTTTTAATTTAAATCATATCAAATATCTTTTTAGAACATAAAGGAATAAAACTACAATAAGAAATGAAACTTTGAAAATTTAACAAATACATGTAAATTAAAGAACATACTTTTAAATTACCTTTGCATCGACAAAGATAGTAAGAAAAAATGTAAAAGGAAATTTGAAACAAGTAAAAATGGAAATACAACAAACAAAAACCCATGTGACACAGCAAAAGCAGGGATAAGAGGAAACTTCACAGCAATAAACAGCTACAAAAAGGAGAAGGAATTTAAATAACAATCCTAATGATGCACCTCAAAGAAATAGAAAAGTAACAACAAATCAAAGCCCAAATTAGTAGGACAGAAATAATAAAGATTAGAAAACAACTAGACAAAATGGAGACTAAAAAAAATTATAAATAATCGATGAAATGAAAAATTACTTTTTCCAAAAGATAAACATAATTGATAAACTGCTTGCTATACTAGTCAAGAAAAAAGAGAGAAGACCTGAAAAAATAATATCAGAGATAAAAATGAGACATTACATCTGATATAATGGAAACATAAAGGATCATTAGAATTTATTATGAACAATCATATGACAACAAATTGGAAACCTAGAGGAAATGGATAAATTCCTGGACACATACACCCTACCAAAATTGAACTAGGATGGAATAGAAAACTTGAACAGGCCAATAATGACTATGAGATTGAATCAGCAATAAAAGTCTTCCAAAAAAAGAAATGCCCAAGACCCCATGGCTTTACTGCTACATGGAATTCTTCCAGACTTCTAAAGAAAAGCTAGTTACAATTCTCAAATTATTCCAAAAATTAGAAGAGGAGAGAATTCTGACTACTTCATTCTATGAGGTCAGCACTACCCTAATGCCAAAACTAGATAGGGACACAACAAAAAAGGAAACTAGAAGAAAATAAACCTGATGAATATAAATGAAACAATCCTCAACATTATAGTAGCAAGTCAAATCCAACAACATATTAAGAAGATAACACACCATGATCAAATCAGATTTATCCCAGGGATGCAAACATTGTTCAAAACATGCAAATTATTTTATTTTATTTTCAAGATAATTAAATCGTTTATTGATTACACATGATAATGGATGATACAAAAGCTTCATTCTCATCTATAATTTTATCTGGTACCATCATTCAATTTAGATATATTGCATCAGATGTGGCCACAATCATTTTTATAACCAATAATTCCATGATTTTGCTTGGGTGGCTTGGGTGATCCCTTTTAATGGTGAACTTCGGGTCATAACGGTAACTATCTTTCAACTACACCAAGGTTTCTGAAGACAATGGCTTCTCCACCCAAGCAGACTGTATATAAATTCCAAATAGGACTTGGCATTACTCTGAAGGAATTCTAACTTCACACTGCTGGGGAAATTTACCAAGATGGCTTCAGAGTAGACTAACTTAACACAGCACATTAAAAAAAAAAAAAAAAAAAAAAGACACATTTATTCAGCATCATGATCAGACTATTACATTTAGCAATTAACAGCATGGGTGTAAAAAAAAAAATCTACATTAAAACCTTTTGTTGGAATGCTTTATACTTTCCACAGAACAGAAACTAAAATAACCTGTTATACAACTCATCGCAAATACAGTCCTCTAGTTTTTGCCATACACATGAGTATTTGTCTGAAACATTTTTTTTTTCCTTTGGTAGCAGCTAGGCCCTGCCACCACTGTGTTTGGCTGAGTTCACAAATCTGTTGTAACCTGTAGCTTCCCTGTCACTTATCGGACTCTTCTTTTCTGCTAAGCTTTGTTTCCTGGCAGTAATTAAAATCTTCTGCCACTGCCATAGCTACTACTGCTACCGGAACCGCCATAGCAACCTTGGTTTCATGGTTTGTCAAAGGATTGGCCTCCACCACCATAGAGGCCAGAACTTCTGCCTCCAAAGTTTCCTCCCTTCATAGGTCCAAAATTTGAAGACCTATTGTTGTAACTGCCAAATATATTGTAGCTTCTACCATCTCCAAAATTGCTTCCATCATTACCAAATCCATTATCGCCAACCCCACTGCCACCATATCCACCACCACCACAGCTGCCACCAAAGCCACCAAGACCACTGAAGTTTCCTCCATAACCAAAGTTGTCATTCCCACTGAAACCAACTCCAAGACCACTATCAAAGTTTCCAGAACTACTTCGACCTCTTTGGCTGGATGAAGCACTAGCTATCTCTTGCTTTGACAGGGCTTTCCTAACTTCATAGTTGTGGTCATTCCCAGTAACGGTATGGTCGTCAAAGTTTACAAGCGCAAAGCCCCTTTTCTTGCCACTGTCTTGGTCAGTAATGATTTCAATCCCTTTAATTTTTCCATACAGTTCAAAAATATTATCTTAAGTGATGTTCTTCAGTGTCTTCTTTAATGCCACCAACAAATATCTTTTACACAGTTAAGCGGGCACCTGATCTTTGATAATCTTCTCTTGAGACAGGTCTCTTTGGTTCCACAACTCTTCCATCCACCTTGTGTGGCCTTGTATTCATGACTGCATCCACCTCTTCTGCAGTGGCATGTGTGACAAAACCAAAGCCCCTGGAGCGCTTGGTGTTTGGATCTCTCATTACCGCACAGTCCGTGAGCGTTCCCCATTGCTCAAAATGGCTCTTCAGGCTCTCATCAGTTGTTTCAAAGCTCAACCATCCAATGAAGAGCTTCCTCAGATGTTCGGGCTATTTAGGAGACTCTGATTTAGACATAATGGCAAGGGGAAGAGAGACTTTAACAATGCTTCCTCAGTGGCATCCACAGGCAGAAGGAAGTAAATGATGAACATACCTCCACCACGTGCAAATTAATAAATGTGATACATCACAGTAACACTAAGTGTTTAAATCATAAGACCTAAAATTATAAAACTTCTAGGCAAAAACAGGGGAAATGCTTTAGGACAGTTGTCTAGGCACAGATTTTATGACTGGGACTTCAAAAGCACAGGCAAAATGCCTCTACAAAAATAGATAAGTGGGCTACATTAAAATAAAAAGCTCTGGACAGCAAAGAAACAGAGTGAAGAACAATCTTTAGATTGAGAGAAATAGCTATTAATCTGACAGGGGACTAATACTCAGAATTCAGAAGAAAAAAAACTCAACAGCAAAAGAATAAATAAACCCATTAAAAAGTGGGCAAAGAATCTGAGTAGACTTTTCTCAAAATAAGACATACAAGACATACAAATGTCTAACATGTATATTTAAAAATGCTCAACATTACTAATCATCATGGAAATGCAAGTTCAAACGGCAACGAGTTATCATCTCACCTCAGAATGGCTATTATCAAAGAAATAAAAAATAAATGCTGGAAAGGACTGGGAGAAAAGGGAACTATTACACATTGTTGGTGGGAATGTAAATTAGTTTAGCCATTATGGAAAGCAGTGTGACAATTTTTCATAAAACTAAAAAAAAAGACCTACAATAGGATCCAGCAATCTCATTTGATGGTATTTATTCAAAGGAAAAGAAATCAGCATATCAAATAGATAGCTGTACCCCACTTGTTTATTGCAGCACTATTCACAATAACCAAGATATGGAATCAACCTGACTGTCCATCAACAACAGAATTAATAAAGCAAACGTGGTATATATACACAATGGAATTCTATCTATCATAAAAAAATAAAATCCTGTCATTGGCGGGTGCATGGATGGAACTGGAGGTCATTTTGTTAAATAAGCTAGGCACAGAAAGACAAATATCACAAGCTCACACTCACCTGTGGGTGCTATAAAAATTGATTTCATGAAAGTAGAGAGTAGAGTGATAGATGCCAGAGGCTGGGAAGGGTGGGTATGGGGCTGAAAAGAGGTTGGTTAATGGGCACAAACATATAATTAGATGGAAGGAATAAGTTCTAGTTTTTGACAGCACTACAGGATAACTATAGTTAACAGTAATTAATTGTTTATTTCAAAATACCTGGAAAAGAATATTTGGAATATTTCCATCATGAAGAAATGACAAATGATTGGATGATGAATATAATAAATACCTTGTTGTGATCATTTTGCATTGTATGCATGTATCAAAAATCATCTGTACTCCATAAATATGTATCAGGTATTAATACATGTTATTATGTGTTAATAAAAATACTGAAATTTGAAATGCATTATGAAATAATATTTTTACATGGACATAAGAAATATAGTGTTTAATTTTTGTATAATAAAATTGGAGTTGCTGATATTTATGTAAATTTTAAAATTTATACATTAATTATATCAAAACTATATTATTATGCTACATTTTTAAAAAGGCCTCAAGATGGTAAGGAATGAGGGAACTATTGTAAAAATTTGTAACTCAATGTGTGAACATTCTTACGCTGGTTTAGTAAGCAGAGACACTCTAGAAATAGTGTCATTTTGAGATTTGTTACTGTGGTACACATAGTTTCTCATTAGTACTGAGGCAAGGAAATATTTTTTGTGTGGTTTATTAAAAAATTAAACAATGCCAGTCAGTAGGCTTATACTCAAAGAAAATGCTAGGTCTTATTTGAAAGAGTTTCAGTTACATTTATGCATTTAAAAGTATGCAGCCAAAAGACACATGAAAAAATGCTCATCATCACTGGCCATCAGAGAAATGCAAATCAAAACCACAATGAGATACCATCTCACACCAGTTAGAATGGCAATCATTAAAAAGTCAGGAAACAACAGGTGCTGGAGAGGATGTGGAGAAATAGGAACACTTTTACACTGTTGGTGGGACTGTAAACTAGTTCAACCATTGTGGAAGACAGTGTGGCAATTCCTCAGAGATCTAGAACTAGAAACACCATTTAACCCAGCCCTCCCATTACTGGGTATATACCCAAAGGATTATAAATCATGCTGCTATAAAGACACATGCACACGTATGTTTATTGTGGCACTATTCACCATAGCAAAGACTTGGAACCAACCCAAATGTCCAACAATGATAGACTGGATTAAGAAAATGTGGCACATATACACCACGGAATACTATGCAGCCATAAAAAAGGATGAGTTCATGTCCTTTGTAGGGACATGGATGAAGCTGGAAACCATCATTCTCAGCAAACTATCACAAGGATAAAAAACCAAACACCGCATGTTCTCACTCATAGGTGGGAATTGAACAATGAGAACACATGGACACAGGAAGGGGAACATCACACACCGGGGCCTGTTGTGGGGTGGGGGGAGGGGGGAGGGATAGCATTTGGAGATATACCTAATGTTAAATGACGAGTGAATGGGTGCAGCACACCGTTGGTATGTAACAAACCTGCACGTTGTGCACATGTACCCTAAAACTTGAAAGTATAATAAAATGAATGAATAAATAAATAAATACAATTTTAAAAAGCTACAAATTAAAATATTTAAGGCATTTTCTTTATTATTAATTCTTGCCATAATTTGATTTCTTAATTAACAAACTAATCTCTAGTCCTGATGGCATAGAGCTTTTACTCTGTCTTGTTCTTTTCTATATCACTTCTAAATGATGGACCTTTACCAGCTCTGGACTCTGTATGGTGTGTTCTAGACCAACGGTACCTCAAATTCAAATGCCTTAACTTAGACTAATTGTCTTTCCTGATCCTTTAAACATGGCAACCAATAAATAATTGCTTTTCAGTAAAATTAGTTGAATAAAATACTTTAAATTTTCCACAGAGGCTTTTACTCAGTTGCACTACAATAAGTCAGCAAATTTACAGTTCATGATTTGTTTTTGGTGAATGTTGATTATATCCATGGTCTTATCCTTGTGAAAGCTTCCCTTCCCATTATGTTTAAGGTCAGTTACTCAGCAATCTTTGACTTCAGTATAGTAAATAAAGTACAGATTGTGACATTTATGTCTTAGTGGATTTTTTTTTTGTTTGTATGTTTGTTTGCTTTATTTTTAAAGAGAGAATCCTTTCTGATAAATAAAAAAAGGAGTGGAAGTAGTTGATAGACTAGGAAACATTTTAATTTATTTTTATTTCTGTAATAAAATTTGAATGTATAAAGAAAGCTGTAGCAAAACACTTTAAGACTTCATAAATCTACAGAAAATACCAAATTAGTGGATGGCATTTGAACAAAGTGCAGGGATAATAAAAACAGACCAGGAAATTAGGTATGTTCTAATATCATGTGGTTTTCATGAATCAAACTAGGGCTATCTATAATAGGTATTTGAAGAGGTCTGCTGATAAAAAAAAAAAAAGGTACGTAAGTTTGATATATAAGTAATGAGCCTGGAGAGTGTTTACATTTTAAGGGATCTCAATTATTATTTATTCTAAATCCATTATTTGTCCATTAAGGACACAGGTTCAGAGATGATAAGCTATTTGCTCAAGTAAAAAAGCTACTTAATAGCTTTGTGATTACAGGTGCTAAGACATGAAACCAAACATCTAATTCCCAAGTTTAAGAAATATCGTGATATCTAATGCTACAGAGAAATTTTGTGAGGCCTTTTTTTCAAAGAAAGAGCTAATAATACATTACATGCACAAAAACAACAAGCCCTTTTAGCATTTTGTAGGTATTTCCTTTCTTAGATATAAAATAAAAGAGCTGTGGCACAGACCCTTTAACCTAATAACATATATAAATGTAATGTTCAGGTAAGTATTGAAACCCTTCAGGACCACTTTGAAAAAGAGAAAAGTAACCTTGAATTTCAAGAAAGTAAAACAATATTAAATATACTCACTTGCACAGCTATTTTTCAAGGTGGATTGGCTTGATAAAAATTATGACCTTTTTCTGTGCCTTATTTTATTTTCCAGACCTAAAAATATTGCCAGTGCCTGAGGCGTAAGTCAGAGTGAACCTCTATTATCACTCCAGAGACTTGGCATTTTCCTCATTAGGCTCCATAGTATCTGACTGAGTGACCTTGTTTGGTGAGAAGACACAGATGGAGTCTGTCAGTAAATCTTGTTAATGTAACAAGTATTCCCACTGTTAGATGAGTGTTGAGCCTGATACTGGCGTTTCTTCCCTTAGTAAACAACCCATATTCCCTTTCCAACATGGGTCTCTTCCTTCATACCATCAGGTTTTTCAGCATTAGCTTGTTCTAAGGATTATCTAAAAGGATGTCTCTTGCTGTGAAGGTAAGATGCTCTCTTTCTGAATAGCAAACTCTTGCTGGCTTTTGAAAAATGTAAAGATGACATTAAATGTGGAAAACATAAACCTAAGCCAAATACACTGTCACCATCCTAAAAAGTCCTGTAAGTGATTCACCTAAAGGTAGTAAGATTTATTATCAGGTAACCACTTCTGTAATTTGTCATTTCTCCCTGTTATCCTGTTTTGCGATGTAAAAGACAAAGCTTTAAGAAGGGAAACATTATCAATTTGAAGAAGAAAGATTGGGTTTCAGTGCATGTAAATATAAGTGTTCAGCGGCAGACGTCAGACTGTATCATGTACTTGGAAAAAGGCATTTAATCTCTAACAATTTCCAATATCCTTATCTATAAAATTGGTAAATAATTATTAAAAATAACCTTTCAGATCTAGTGAGGGGATCAAATAAGATTGGGATTAGCTTGTAAAACTATACATATGTTTACTTATAAGTATAAAATATAAAATGAAAGCAATCAGAAATGCACATCCAGGAGCATACTTTAAATCTTAGTGGACACTTAGTATGTACAAATTTTAATTTTAATTAAAAATGAACAATGTTTGCAATTTAAAATTAGAAGATATCTGCAAAATATAGTAGGCCATAATGATTTAAAAATAATAATAACTCATTTACAAAGGGCCTTATACTTTTATTAAAAATGTTCAACTTTCTATTTTTATTTTAAATAACTTAATAATTATAAATCAAAGCAAAAATAATGGTTCCATAACTTTTCAATGTTTCTAGTCCCTCACACTAAATTAAAAGTACTACACTAAGTAAGTACTGAGTGTCATCAGGGGCTCTGCTTGTAGAAGAGCTTTGTAGGAAAAATAAGCTTTCCTTTAGTACCTGTAATGCTCAGATACCGAGGTCAAAAGAAGAATTATAAACTCAGAAGATTCAAAAGTTCTTGACCATATTCTAGTAATAAGATAGAAAATAACTCAAAGATTGTAATCAGCTATGATAAGTGATGGAGCTATCTCCTAATATGCATAATATAAAATCTCAGAAGTGGGAACACTAATCAGATGGCAACAGACTGGGGGATTTTAGCTGGGCTTCTAGGAAGTTTATAGTTATACTGAAGTTTCGAATTAGAAATAAATACAGAAAATGCGTGCCAGTCAATGAAATGGCATGTCTAAGAGCTCTGAGCTATGCATGGGAAAAATGAAAACTCTTGTTGTTCACAACAACAAGCTAGAGGCTAACAGAGATTATTTGTGAATGCATTCTAAAGTAAGGAGTGTAAGTTTTACCAGAAAATCAGTAGATTTTAGCAGAGGAGATTGATACAATTTAATCTCAGTGGAGAATCTGTCCAAGAAACAATATAATTAGCATTTTATTGATCCAAACAGAAATGTCCAACAAAACTAACTTTTTTTTTTTTTGAGACGGAGTCTCGCTCTGTTGCCTAGGCTGGAGTGCAGTGGCGCGATCTCGGCTCACGGCAAGCTCCGCCTCCCGGGTTCACGCCATTTTCCTGCCTCAGCCTCCCGAGTAGCTGGGACTACAGGCGCTCGCCACCACGCCCAGCTCATCAACAAAACTAACTTTTTATTCAAGATCAAATGGTGATCCAAACCATATACCCAATGTAACTTGGCAGATCCAAAAAATTGATTGATTTGTTTAAAAAGGCATAAATAAATGGAAAGATTTAGGTAATTACGAAAAGTAATACATGATAATGTGATTAAAAAGGAGTGCTACACAAGAAGAGAGACACTTCCCTAATAGTGATGTAAGGTGCCCCTGGATCTTCTCCCTGGAAAAGCAAACATAACTGATGAAAATAGAAATCTCTTTCTCTCTCTCTCTCTCTCTCTCTCTGTCACACACACACACACACACACACACACACACACACACCCCTCTAAAGTCTCTGGAAATTTTCCTAAGATTATTCATGAAAGAAAGACTTATTTATTTAGAAAAATCTACTAAATCTTGTTAAGAACAATGAGAATCTGTAAATTCAAGTCACATTCTATCACTTCACTAGCCCCAGCTTAGTGAAATAAAGGCTCTCCTCCAGGATGGTGTGCCAAAAAGATGAGGCTTCCTCTCCTCCCATCTCCTAGCATAGGGCTCTGTTTTGTTTTTGTTTTTGCTTGTTTTTAATGGGAAGGTCAGAACAACAGCATATTTTATAACCCCACAGCTTCATGCTGTTGAAGCACTATTCCAGGCAAGTGAAGCCCAGGGGTCAGGGGCTTCCTTCTTCCACCCAATCTCTGTTACTATCGTGGAAATTCCACAACAGAAAAGGAAGGACAATATTGGGCAATGGTCACTCTCACCCTAGCTAGCTCCATAGTCAGAGGGAGGCTTCATGTCAGGAGAGGCAATTTGAGAAAACTATTACTCTTTGAGCAATCTGATTGTAAAGCAGGTTCCCATTCCCAGATAAATGGACTGTTACGCCCCTTCCCATCTTGAGAGTAATGGCAGACAGGTTATGTCCAGGGAGAGCTGCAAGACTTAAGAACAGAGAACCCCATAACTTTCACTTTTTATTTGGAAAAGAACACGGGGAAAGTAAAGCCAAAGACTGCTATTGAAACAATGGCGATTATGATGGTAAGTAATTAAGAGGAAGCTTGAGGCTCCATGATAGCAACACATATAAACTTCCTGTGTGTATATATATATATACTCACGCACGCACACACATATATATGCGTGCATATATATATGTGTGTATATATATGTGTGTACATATATACCCACACATTGATATATGTAAAACATATATATAACAGATAAGCTTAGATGTATGCATTATATATAGATGTATAATTTATATATAAATGTAAAATATGTATATATAATATATAAATATGAATAATTTATATACATATGTTATATATAATTTTATATATAAATATGAATTTATATACATATATGTTGTATATCATTTTATATATAAATATGAATAATTTATATACATATACGTTATATATAATTTATAAATAAACACATTACATATATAATTTTATATATAAATATAGCATCAATTATATAATTTGTATATACATATAACATGTATGTTATATGTATAGAAAGAGAGCGAGAGAGAGAAAAGCATTGATGACACGAAAAAAGGGGAAGAGAGAATAGAGCTGTATAGGATTAAAGTTTCTGTAACTCACTGTAATAACCTTGTATAAATCTGAAGTAAATTCTGATAATTTGAGATGTATTTTGTGAGCCATAGAGCAACCAATGAAAAATACAAAAACAATATACTGAATACAATCACTGATAGTAAAATTTTACACTATAAAAAAGTCTCCTTAATGCAAAAGAATACAGTAAAAGATGAAGAGAGCAACAAAAAAGACATGAGACATACAGAAATCAAAACTAAAATAACAAACTCAGCCATATCAATAATAGCATTAAATACAAATAAATTCAATAATTAATTCAAAAGTCAGAGTAAAGTGAATAAAGAAACAGAACATTACAAGGTGATTTATAGTAAAATGTTGGGAAAAGACATATTATGCGAACAGTAATGATAAAAGAGCTGGGACTGCTGTACAAATATACAATTTAGACTTTCTAATCAAACGTTATTATAACTAAAGAGAAACATTTTATAATGATATAAATACAAACTATCAGAAAGATCTAACAATTATAATCATATAGACACCCAAGAATAGAGCCCAAAGGTACATGAAGAAGAAATTGAAAGACTCAAAGGGAGAGACAATTTGACAGTTATAGTTGTAGACTTCAGACCTCCACTTTCCACAATATATTAGAACAATAAAGCAGTAGTTCAGACAGAATATAGAAAAATTGTACAATACTAGAAATCAGTTAGACCTAACAAATTTGCAAGGAACACTCCACCAATTAACAGTAGAATATGTATTCTTCTCAAACACACATGAAATATTCTCCATGATAAACCATACACCAGTCCATAAGGCAAACCTCCATAAATTTTAGAGGATTGAGATAATACAAGTACATTATCTGACCACAATGGATAAAATTAGAAATCTAAAACACAAGTCAAGTTGGGAAAATAATCCTTTTTTTTTTTTTTTTTTTTTTGAGACAGAGTCTTGTTCTGTCACCCAGGGTGGAGTGCAGCGGCATGATCTCGGCTCACTGCACACTCCGCCTCTCGGGTTCACGCCATTCTCCTGCCTCAGCCTGCCCAGCAGCTGGGACTACAGGCGCACGCTGCCATGCCCGGCTAATTTTTTTGTATTTTTAGTAGAGACTGGGTTTCACTGTGTTAGCCAGGATGTTCTCCATCTCCTGACCTCGTGATCCGCCCGCCTTGGCCTCCCAAAGTGCTGGGATTACAGGCGTGAGCCACCCTGCCCCACAATAATCCTCTTAAAAACAATGAATTAATGAAGAACTCACACAAGGAAAATTTAAAAATATTTAGAAATATATAAAAATAAACAAATATTATAACAATACATGTAGAATGCAGCTAAATCAACTGCCTGGAGAGAAATTTACAGCTACAATCATCTATATTTGAAAGAAAGAAGAAATCTCAAATAAATATACTCACCATTCACCATAGGACACTAGAAAACAGAGTAAATTAAACCTAGGGCAGGCAGACACGACAAATAAAAAGATTAGAACTGAAATTACTAAAATGAAAATATACTTTTAAAAATTTTTTAAATTGAAAAATTCCACAAAAATAGTTTTTGTGAAAAAGGCCATGAAATTAATAAATTCCCAGCAGGATTGACCAATAAAAAAAGAGAGAGAGGGGAGAATAACATGCTATATTAAGAAATGCAAAAGGCAATTACTTTGCAGAAATAAAAAAAGTATTATAAGAAAATACTATAAATAGTGCTAGAAAATTAGATAACTTCATGAGTTAAATACATTTTTTGAAAGCCACAATTTCCAAAACTAACTCTGGAAGCTGTAGAAAATTTTTAATAGTCTTATGAAATATAAAAAAGATAAAAATAATAATTTAGGTAATCTACACAAAGAAAAAGCCCAGTCCTAACTGATTTTAATGGTGCATTCTAACAAGTATTTAAACAATTAATACTAATTTTTCACAAACTTGTCAGAAATTAGAAGAGTAAAAATACTTTCTAACTTGTATGATGCCAGTGTTACTCTGATATGAAGATCAGACAAACATAGCCCAAGAAAAGAAAATTACAGACTAATATATTATTTAAATATAAACTAGAAATCCTCAACACAATATTGGAAATGAATCCAGCTTATTTATGAAAATAATTATTTACTGTGACCAGGTGAGGTTTATTCCAGGAATGCAAGGTTGGTTTAACATTATAATATCAATTATTGTAATATACTATATTAATATAACAGAGGACAAAATACACTTGGTCATGTCAATAGACACATTTGACAAAATATAACGTCCTTTCATGATAAAAAAAAATCATTTAAAGAATTAAGAGCAGAAAAAAATAAAATAAAAGACTTCTTCCTCCTAATAACAAACATCTATTAAAAATCCACATCTAACTTAATGGTGAAACTGTGTTGTTTTCCTCTAAAATCAGAAACAAGGCAGGAATACTTGTCTTGCCATTTGTGCTCAATATTGTTCTGGAAGTTTCAGTCAAGGCAATTAGGTAAGAAAAGAGAATAAGAACAATCCAAATTGCAAAGAAAATAGTAAACTAATTTCAGAGCAAAAAGTTTAAATCTGTACACTTAAAACTATAAAACACTGTTAAAAACAAAGAAGACTTGTATAGATTAAATATTCCATGTCCCCAGATAAGAATATTTAATGTTGTTAAGGATGGCCCCACCCACATCCTGCTGATTGGTCCATTTTACAGAGAGCCGATAGGTCTGTTTTACAGAGCGCTGATTGGTCCGTTTTGACATGGTGCTGATTGGTGCATTTACAATCCCTGAGCTAGACACAAAAGTTCTCCAGGTACCCACTAGATTAGCTAGATATAGAGTGTTGATTGGTGTGTTTACAAACCCTGAGCTAGACACAGAGTGCTGATTGGTACATTTACAAACCTTGAGCTAGATACAGAGTGCCTATTGGTGCATTCACAATCCCTTAGCTAGACATAAAGATTCTCCAAGTCCTGACTAGACTCAGGAGCCCAGCTGGCTTCACCCATTGGATCTCCCACTGGGGCTGCAGGTGGAGCTGCCTGCCAGTCCCACCGTGCACCCGCACTCCTCAGAACCTTAGGTGGTCGATGGGACCGGGCGCCGTGGAGCAGGGGGTGGTGCTCCTCGGGGAGGCTCAGGCCGCACAGGAGCCCACGGGGGGGTGGGGGGGTGGGGGTGTTGGGGGGGGTGGGGGGTTGGGGGGGGTGCGAGGAGGGGAAGACTCAGGCATGGCAGGCTGGAGGCCCTGAACCCTGCCCTGCGGGGAGGCAGCTAAGGCCTGGCGAGAAATCCAGTGCAGCGCCAGTGGGCTGGCACTGCTGGGGGACCCGGTGCACCCTCCGCAGCTGCTGGCCTGGGTGCTAAGCCCCTCACTGCCTGGGACCGGCAGGGCCGGCCGGCGGCTCCAAGTGTGGGGCCCACCAAGCGCACGCCCACCCAGAACTCTAGCTGGCCTGCAAGTGCCTCAGGCAGCCCGGTTCCCGCCCTTGCCTCTCCCTCCACACCTCCCCACAAGCTGAGGGAGCCGGCTCCGGCCTCGGCCAGCCCAGATAAGGGCTCCCCACAGTGCAGCGGGGGGCTGAAGGGCTCCTCAAGCGCGGCCAGAATGGGCGCGAGGCCAAGGAGGCACCCAGAGCGAGTGAGGGCTGCGAGGGCTGCCAGCACACTGTCACCTCTCAGCTGTATGACACTATCTTGGTGGACCCAGCATTGTTAGGTCAAAATGATGTATCCGTACTTGATCATGTTATAAATATCCAATGACGATAACATGTCTATTGAACACAAATACTGGCTAAGATGCTCTAAAAGAATTTTAAATGATGCTGGCATGGGTCAAGGACTCCTAAGTCAGGAAAACTCACCTTTAATAGAGAAATACATTAGATAAAGAAGGTTTATTAGTATGAAACAGCAACTTAGAAACAACGTTATTTCAGGAGAAATGGAAAGGATGGCAAGTTGCTTGGATGGATAACATCTCTTATGAAAAATTAGATGCAAGAAGTTAAATAGATATTTAAGTAACATGCTAGGAAACAAAGATGGGAGGTAGCATGAACATTTTATCCAAGAAGAGTTAATAAGCATGCTCTTCTAGATAAGTCAGAAGCAGATCAAAGTAAATGGGCTGAGATCTTGGCAGCAGAAATGTAAGGAATAAATTTATGGGAGACCTATGTCCTCTCCAGTCTGTGTAAATTTATAAGTGGAAAATGCAATTTACTAGTTGGTGAATGATGGTTATGACTTAAACAAAAGTCACATTGGGATACTGTTTCACTACTATTTTGTAGTTTGGGAGAGGATATTTCTCAGTGTCCACGAGAAACTTGAAGTTCAGAATTAACGGAGTCTTTACTGTTGATTTATACTAATGTTTGCTGTACATAAAGGGTGGTTTTATTGGGAAGGATTTGAGAAATTCTACTGAATTTAAGCTTTTTATTTTACAATACTACTATTCTAATTAACTGTTATTTGATGTGATACTGGTGTAATTGGTTAGCTTAATTTGATTGTAACAAAACCCATGGTAGTGCTGATACTGATAATCAAATGAACTGGGACCTTATATCAATACTGCTACAGATGTTCTTGCAAAGTAGTTAATTTGCTAGAAGAACTAGGTTTAATTAATAATTGACTACATATTACATTAAACTACTGGCACTCATCATCTGGTTCAGGTATGGCACTTGAAAAAGGTAAAATAATTTCTTAATCTTTGATGATGAGGAAGTCTGTGGTTGTTTATTTGGTAAATCAAAACATTAAAGCACTAATGGTAACTCATTGGGTAACATAAATGAGTGGAATCTTTTTATTTGTTCTTTTTCTCTTTTATACATAACAAATGCAAAAATAGAAATTACTATAAATGATTTGCAAATAAAATTTGTCTGGGTGTCAGAAGCCAGAGTAGAATGTATAAGTACAATGTTAATCGCAAAATTTTATTTGTGAAGTTCATTAAGTCAGTGCATTTAGCTCTAGCTTACTGATTTTTCTTGCTTTATATTCCTTTACTATGTGTATCTATCACAATTGATGTTCATGCATTATTGTGTTGATATATGTAGAACGAGAGACCAATTTTGTTTATTTCTTTGAGTTAGGTTAGCATAATGAATTCTGAATCCAAAGAATAGGACTCTCTTATTTAGTAGCTAAATAATTATGGGTAAATGAATGAATCTTCTTTTATTTAAAATGTCTCAGGCTGGACGCAGTGGCTCATGCCTGTAATCCCAGCACTTTGGGAGGCCGAGGTGGGCAGATCACAAAGTCAGGAGATGGAGACCAGCCTGCAAAACATGGTGAAACCCTATCTCTACTAAAAATACAAAAATTAGTTGTGTGTGGTGGCATGCACCTGTAATCCCAGCTACTTGGGAGGCTGAGGCAGGAGAATTACCTGAACCAGGGAGGCAGAGATCGCAGTGAGCCAAGATACTCCAGCCTGGCAACAGAGCAAGACTCCGTCTCAATCTCAAAAAAAAAAAAAAGTCTCAGTTCGCTTAAATACAAAAATTACATATGTGAATATATACATAGTAAGCCACTCTTAAGATGCCACTCTTAAGATTTCACTATGAATTCACATAACACAGAAAAGAGATTCTTGGTATTTTGTAAGTGCTCAATAAATCATGGATGTTATTTATTTTTTTGGAAAATTTTCAGCCATTATTTCTTCAAATAATGACTTAAGGGCGTGCTTTTTCAGCCCACCTTCCTTCTCCCTGCCTTCTAGTGTCACAGAGACATTAATGTTAGATATTTTCTTTCTTTTTTTATATATTGTATATTTTATTTATTTTATTATACTTTAAGTTCTGGGGTACATGTGCAGAATGTGCAGGTTTGTTACATAGGTATACACGTGCCATGGTGGTTTGCTGCACCCATCAACCCGTCATCTACATTAGTATTTCTCCTAATGCTATCCATCTCCTAGCCCCCCACTGCTCAACAATTAAAGACAGTGGTGTTATGCACTTTCTCATACATGTGTGTTATTCACTTTTTTGTACATGTGACCTAGTCTTTCTAGCATGTATACATGAAAATAAGACTTGCTTGACCATGATGTATTTGCATGCATTATTTTCTCATAACCTTTTTTCCTTCTTTCCCCAAAGTGTTTGTCCCTATTTTTATTCCCAACAGTAGAAACATACAAGGCAGATGTTTTCTTCATTAAGACTTGGTAACTTTGTTTTTTACAGGAATTGTTTTTGTTTTATTAATTTAGTCAAGAAACATATACTGAATGCTTACTTTATACTATGCAACAGCCAGTAGAGACACAAGATGCAGCGGGTACTGTATCTGCCCTTAAGGAGCTCAGGGTAAATAGAGTAAGGTAGGAATATAGGCACTTAGACATATACTATATCCTGCAATGTATGATTATGGGTAATAGTAGAGGTATGCACAGTCTTGTTAAATTCCTCAGTCTTCTTGCTAAATGTTACATGGGATGTTCAGTTTTAATGATAGTTCTGCATTCACAGGGATTATAATAGTAAACTATTTGTTTTATTAGCTTTTAGATTATTAGCTTTTCACTGTATTAAATAATGCTGTAATATTTCTGCACATGAAACTTGTAAGATTTTTGGATACATTTGCTCATTTATACATTTAATTAAAATATATTTATTAAATTTCTGCTATGATGTAGGTCCTGTGTTGGAAGCACTGAATTCTGTACTGAGAAGATAAGAAGTACAAATTTGATAAAGGATAGAAAGAACAACACATTAAGAGAGAATACATAACCTTATATTTTTGAAATATTTATGTTATAAACTTTACCTATTAATATCAATTAAGATATTATCACATTTAGCCTGATTTTGACTCTTTGGCTATATATAAAAGTTATATTTGAGGAAGCGTGTGTTATCATAGGTATGCTATTTTCCCAAGACCATGAATAAATTGCAGTTGGTGTAAGTGATGAAAATTTTCATCAAAATAATTTTCTGAATGACAGGTCTAATAAAACCTTGTCCCTCCTCCCCTCCCTATTGACATCTAAACATCTTCTTATAAACATATTTTGATACTAGAAAAGATTTAGATTTTGAGTTGAGCTTTAGGTAGTTCTCTCAACCAGAACACTAGACTCTTCTGGGAGCTGGAAATTGAGAAGTCAATTTTAAGTAAGTGGAAATCAATTTGACAGGGAAAGAAAAATACAAATGAATTCACTTGAAATAGTCCAGACAAAAAAACATTCCAGTTAATATATTTTTCTTAGACTTGTTTTCCTGCTGTAAAGTATATTCTACTTTTTATAAAAATTAAAAATCATCTTTAACACGTGTAGATATTCTGTTTTTTAGGATAAACAACATGTAAGAGATGATGTACTACAGCTATTTCAATAAATGAAAAACGTGGATGTCTATGCAGATTTCCATTCTGTTATAAGTTACTCTGGTAGAAGACACTCTAGTTTTATATTTGGGTAACATTTTCAATTCATCGCTAGTTTTAGGAGAAGAATCTTCAATTCGGATTTGCAGTTTGTCTTTTGGTTTATCCAGGAGTAGTAGTTATTATATATAAACATTGCATTATATATAATTCACTGGATGTGAAAGATTTCAATATACTTTCAAATATAGAAACTCAATACTATATATTGTATTCATTTATTAAGTAGAAATGTCTGAATAGCTTGATGTTTATTTGTAAAGAGTTTCATGATAGCATTTGTTGAAATGGCTATTAAAGAAACTAGGATTTCACTTTTCTAGATCAGTATGTATTCTACTTATAAAGACAATATCCTAAATGTGTACCAAACTGAATTCTGTATACAAAGTGCTGCATACTTCTAATTTTTTTTTTTTTTTTTTTTTGAGACAGTCTCACTCTGTCACCCAGGCTGGAGTACAGTGGCGCAATCTTGGCTTACTGCAACCTCTGTCTCCGAGGTTCAAGCAATTCTCCTGCCTCAGCCTCCCGAGTAGCTGGGATTACAGGTGTGTGCCACCACATCTGCCTACTTTTTGTAGAGACAGGGTTTCACCATGTTGGCCAAACTGGTCTTGAACTCCTGACCTCAGGTGATCCGCCCACCTTGGCCTCCCAAAGTGCTGGGATTACAGGTGTAAGCCACGGCGCCCGGCCCTATACTTCTGATTTCAAGAGCACAACAGCATAATACTTATTTAATGTTCCAAATCACTTACTCTGTTTTTCAACATGGCAGGTTCTTCTTTTAAATCTGCCTACAGACCATTATTGATCCCTCTCTAAGCCTTGTAGTGTCTCTAAGAAAAGGAATATGTGGTTTTGCTACCTGTGTTTTTTCCGTATAATTTTTATAACAAAGACACTGCCATGGGATGTAGGCCCCTATTAAATGTTTCTCTGTCTCTAAACTCAAGGCCTTGAAAAACAAGGGGTCAATGATTTTTTTCAAAGACATTTCTTTCCCTGAATGAAATACTCCCACAAGTGAATTGTATTCATGAGTTGTTCCAGGAAACTGGAAAACTGAAGTGTTTATTGCCAGCAATCTGATCATGTGCTTTAAATTCATTCCTAGATTATTTTTCTAACCCATACTTAATAATGGGAACTAACATTTATTGAATGTTTACTGCATACTAGTAAGTATTTGAAGTATTTTATATGTATCAAAGTATTAATATTGAATTGCCCCTATTTCACATGAGGAAATTAAAATACAGAAAAAAAACTTATACAAGTTTGCTGGTAAGGGCAGTAGCCAGGATGAAGACCTAGGTAATCAGGCTCCAGAGGGCACACTCTTAATCATGCTGCTATATTCCAGAGGTCCTGTGTCCTAAGAATCATATCCTGATTGTTCTGTTCTCTCCATGAAACAGAATCATGTACCCACTAAACTAAACAAACAAAGGTTAGCATACACTCTTGCACATTTATATTTGAGTGGATTGGTGTTGTATTTTATTTATAAAGATTTTCAAATGAAATAAATTGCTGAGTGTTGGCACATGCCAGTGAGGGTAAAAGAATAATGCAAAATGACTGTAGGATGTTTAGAAAATGACAAATTCATAAATTTTAATGTAAACAAATGATCTGCTAGAATTCGAAAAGAAAATATTGTGTAGAAAGCAGAAAAATAAAAAACAAAATCTAGGAAAATATTTTCAAAGGACACAATCTATAAATAAATATAACTGTGCATGTGTGCACAGTTATATTTAAGTGGATGTGAGTGTTATATACATGTGCAAGTGTGTAATTTTGAACCATTACATTAAAATTGATATGAGCCATTAGTTTTTTAATTGCTTAATTCGAGAGGAAAAAAAGTCACATTAAAAGTTCAGAAAAAGTAATTATATGCAAAAAACTTGTTGAATGTCTCAAACAGGTAATTTTTATGCACAAGTTATTAAAAGGATAATATAGAGAGATTTATATTTTTAATAATAAATGTATTTTGTGGAAAGTACTTAATTATCAATAGAACTAGGAAATAATCATTATGCTGTGTAGAAAGAATAAAAATGGTGGATTCCTGTAACACTTTTATAAAGAAAAATTAGATCTCCATACTTCCTGGACAATAAGAAGTTCAATTTCTAACAATTCCATAAGAATATATTTACTAAACCTCTTCTTTGCTTGAGAAAATTTCATTCTCTTTTTTGTCTTAGAACATGTAGTCTAAACTTCTTATCAGTTGCTGCTATTTCCCTGAATCTACTCTTAACTCTTTTTATGGTGACTTGTAACTTTTTCCTATAAAACCATATGTGTCCAATAATACGCTGTAAGCCAGATCCACAAGCTATTTAGAGCATTTCATTCTTGAAGAGAGGTCTGTTACAGTGCTTATATGATGACAGAACAATTCTCGCATACATGAAGCTCTGTGATTAGAAAGAAGAGGTGCTAGTAGCAGCACAGATGAAAAGGTGTGCAGGCTCCACAGAGTCTCAACAGTGGCAGCTCAGCTCCCTGAGCCAGTCACCATCTTAGTCTTTTTGAAAATCTCAATATTTCTCCTGGTGTACCAAATCATTACATTCACCATAATCGAACCTGACTGAAATGCTGAACCAGATGTCACCTATACTTTTTATATGACATTGGGAAAATGCCTTTGTGAATTTTTAAACTGTGATTTATACATATTTTTATTTGTCCCAGTAAAGTCTTTCCTATCCATGGGATTGGATTATGCCTAGATTATTTTTATCTTAATAATTGTATTATTCTAAGTAAATTCCTAATACTAATAATGCTTTTAAAGGTTATGAAATCAAATTAAAATTAAGTTATGCTGATAGAAACATAAACATATTGCAATAGTATGTTAAGTGTGCAAAAGTAACCAATAAAGATTAACTCAAATGATGACAGATAGATCTATATTTGGAGGAGAGGATTCTGGTCTTCTGTAGGAGGTCATTATTCAATTATCAAAATAAGGATTATGTGAGTGTCAAAGTAAATTTTCACAGAATGAGCTAAACAGGCAATAAAAACTTTACTCAAGAAAATTGTGTTAGGGGAGAGATACTGAACACAACTCTGCTGGAACAAAGGGTGGGTGATTTTAACAGTGAGGTGAACTAATGAAAAACGAATGAGGGCAGGCTGGTCAGTGTGATCAGGCCATATATGTTTGCTAATCATTGCTTATTAAAGTGATGCTCCTCCAATCTGACAGAGACTGAAATAAAGTAACACTATCTTTCTTGATGATTATATTTCAAAAGAGTGGCTCCTAAGTTTCTAAGAAAGACATTCCTGGGTTGTAAAACTAGTAAGAGACTTGGAGAAGATTTATATCTGAAAGCTGCAGAGAAAGAATTCACAATTTCAAGTTTACTAAAGTAAATAAGAAAATGGAGATTGAAGTCTAAATTTGGAAAGGAACCTGTTTAAAGTTTAGTTAGCTGAGGCGAACCTTAAAGCCCTCTTTGGTTAGAGCTTATGAAAACTTGATAAAACCAAAAATTGAAAAACAACCATTAATTGAAAAGTGTAGATAGTTAAAATAAGAACTAAAATATTTAAAAAGTAGTTCATTTTGCAGTGGGTGATGGAGCGTGATATATATGTGTGTGTGTATATATATATATATATATATACTGAGTATATATATATATACTCAGTATATATACATATATACTGAGTATATATATTCTCAGAATATATTCTGAGAATATATATATATATTCTGAGTATATATATATATTCTGAGTATATATATATATATTCTGAGTATATATATATATATATATATGTATATATTCTCAGACACAGTGTTGACAGAAAAAGCATTAATAATGAAATTGAAGATAACCTGTTTGTATGACCTAGTGAAAAGAATTTTTACCCAAACCAAAAACTAGGTGAACTCCACTAAGCTTTAATTATAAAATGGCTTTTTAAAAAAACTGTCAAAGTATATACAAATTAAAATAAATATATTTTAAAAAATATTTTAGGAACAAAACAATCTACTCATTGAATACCAAATTTATACAATGGCAGAAGTGGCTAAGCTGTCATTAAGAAGTGTCATTAAGTAAATAATATAAAATCTTCAGTATTTTAATAGAAAGATCAAGAAAACTAATATAGGCTAACATCAAACATATTTGAATGTAAATATATCTCCTATCTTCTCAACACAATGAATTTCTAGTAACTATTGTCTAAGGATAATCACCCTCAAGAGAATTGAGCCTACACTTGTTATTTATTTCTTCTGAAAATCACAATAATTGAATAATCTAGAAAATATATGGAAATGGAAGTATATTTATGTCACAGCACAGCCTGAGGTGCTATGTTAATAGCAAATATTCCCTGTACCTGGTGAGATTATATAAGGTGTAAAGAGCCTATGAATAATAGTAAGAAAACACCTAGGACTTCTGAATCAAAGGCCTGCATTATAGTCGACATTGAAATAGCTTTACCTGAATAATTATTCTGCATCTCTCTTGATAATGATAATAAAAACTAGCAACTGTTGTGCAATGCATTATTTTAATCCTTAGCAAATAGTATTTAAAACTGTTTAAATGCTGTGGAGAATACAAAGCTTAAAACAAAGTCCCTAACCTTTGAATATTTTTTAAATGAAGAGATAAGACATACAATCATTAAAAAATAATATAACATGGAATGGGTGATTGCATGTCAAAAATTTTCTAGTTTTTAAAATTCCACAAAACCTGATGAAGAAGGTCAACTTCTATCTTATCTTTGTAAATTTATCTAACACAGCAGAAAATAATAAATACGTTTTCTGATCTCAATGTGTGTGTGTTATATATATATATGTGTGTGCATATATATATATGCACACATGTTCCTTTATAATGCACCAAACCATTGTGACCTAAAATTAGAAGATGATTATTGAGCTCTTGTAAAATGTAAATTAAAATTTCCAGATAAGTTAACACACATATACACACATATATGAACAGGCATATGTATGTGCATATATATGAATACATCACATATTTTATATATATATATGTGACATTTGTGTGATTTATTTCTCTACCAATTAGATCAATACATTCTTTTTTAATTGTATTTTTGCTGCTAGTTTACATTTAAAATCATGTGCACGTTATTTTCACAATTTTTAAAAATAATTGTTATTGTGGTAAAATATATGTCTTAGCCAACTCAGGCTGCCATAACAAAATACCATAGACTGAGTAAGTTAAACAACTGTCCTATATTTTTCACAGTTTTGGAGCCTGGAAAATCCAAGATCAAGGTGCCAGTATGGTTGGTTTCAATAAGGGCTCTCTTCCTGGCTTGCAGATGGCCACCTTCTGGCTATGTACTCACATTGCACTTCCTTGGTATATATGAACAGTGAGAGAAGAAACTCTAGTATACCTTTCTCTTTTTCTAAATTGATCATTGTCATTGTACTTATTTATTCGGTATAATTTGATGTTTGGATACACACATATATATAATATTATATATATATATATATATATATATATATATATATATATATAAAATTATCCAATAAGGGTGGTTAGTAACCCATCACCTCATACATTTATCATTTCTTTCTGGGGATATTCTTTTAACTATTTGTAATAATCACTGCTTTACTGTTAGCTATAGTCATCCTAGATAAATACATTTTTAAAATTAATGTATGGCTTAACGTATGTTTCTTTGGAAATTTTAATTTATGTTTTACACTGTAAGAGCTCAATAATTGTCTTCTAATTTTAGGTCATAATGGTTCAGTGGATTATGAAGGAACATGGTGAATTTAGGCAGCTGCCAAAGGGAGTCAGTTGTTTATATGCCAATGTGTCCTACCTACTAATTTTTCTTTTGCAGAATTCACTGTGGTCTATGTGTGGTCCACAGGTTTTTAGGTCAAGAAACTTAAAATGTACTAAGTAGATAAAGTGTGTTTCTGTGTATGTGTGTCTGTGTGTGTGTGTGTTGTGTTGTATGTGTCCCTTTCAGTGGCATATATAGAAGATTCAATGCAGGTGTTATTAACTCTCCTCTATCTCTAGACAACAAAATTATTTTCAGAAAAATCCTACAATAATAGGTAATGAACATTTTTAATCATTATTTTTAAAGCCATTATTAAAGAATAATAGAGTTCATTTTTAAAATTATGATTCAATATTCATGTACAGACTAAAATTTACACATACCAAAAACTAACTTTATAGTTGATGTTCTATTTCACAGTCTCAAATTTTAAACACAAAAACTTCAATTGACCACATACTATGACAGCATTTTCGAAACTCATGCTCTATGCTTCATATTTATAATCAGACCTTTCATTATTTATTCTGAAATTACTGCTTAACTTCAGGAATTTGAAGAGACACAGGGTCTTGGACACCATATGCTTACAAATTATCAACCACTTTGAGTTTAATATCAAAACACATATATATTGCTGAGTTTATATGTGTTGTGGTAAGCTATATACTTGAGAGTTCTTAGAATTAAGTTTCATGTAGAATAAAATATATGTGAAATGACATCATGAAATGTACCAATTTGGCACTTGTGCATGTATTCACAAAAAATAACAGCAGCCACAAAGATTGTTTAGAATTTAGAAAAATGAAATATATTTTAGAGAAGTGTTCTATGACATTGTTTAGAATTGTTGACCCATAATCAGAATAAAATGATAATAAAATGCAGGCCATCTTTTGATGAGTTTATCATGATTTAAAAATATATAAACTATATAACTCATTTTTCTTTCTCTCTGGACACAATGCTTCCATGTAATTACATTATTTTGTTTGGGGATTTTTACGTGGTTCAAAATTATTGTTTCATATATTAATCTTTTGTCTTAGTCCCACAGTTGCCCAGTTAAGGTTTGTGGGACATTAATCTACCATTGAGAGAGCAATATTTTTCACCTTATATTGATATTATTCAAAAGAACCCTCATTGTATGTCCTTAAGTACCATCAATGGAAATATTATCATAATATAAATGCATCATGTTTAGTGGATGCACTGAAATGGTCTTTTGTTTAGTGTATTTTTAATTTTGTATTTTAACATCCTTTGCCTGAAAATTTTTCTTAATTCAGTCCAGAAAGGCACAAAAATGGACATATTGCTACAAAGGATGAGCAAATAGGTGCCAAGAGATTTTACATCAAAAGTGGTGAGAAGGCAAAAACAACAAAAACAAAAATAATATATGTTTCTGAATCAAAAATTTTACTCTTCAGAGAATTTAAAATTTAGAAATAGAAAAACCCATGAGGGATGCAATAGAAAATGCCCCATGATTGGAACAAATTGAAAGTGTATATGATGTTTTAAGAAATTTTATGTTGAGCTGTGTCTTGACTATGGAGTCAGGACAACATTGCTCTATGGTTGTTGGACTTAGCCAATTCCTTAAATACCTTTCTTTCTCTCTCATAAATTCTGTTTTTCTGAATAACTCTAACTAATAAAATAGCCTTAGAAAATAAGGGAAAATAATAAAACATTCAATGATCTGCTGCTTTCTCTTATTGTTATGCTGAGATCTTCAAGAAAAACACTGAATCAAATTTGGCCTCTTTAAAATATATATTAACTAAGCCAATAAAATGAGTGTTTCTCTGAAAGATCCCTTTGAGGCTTAACTTATCTATTTTTTGTCTCCCTACACCTCCAACCCACACCCCAACCACAGATATTACTGGAAAGAACTGTCCCTCAATTCACTTGAAGGGCTTGAATTCCCAGAGGCATATGACTAGTTCATGGAAGAATTGGTACAGTTCAGGACTTCCCAGAACCTAAAGAAGATTAATAGAAATTTATTGAATAATTAAGTTATAGATCAATCAAACCTCTATTAATTTACCTACATGTTGGTCAGTTCTCAGAAGGTGACACATGGATAAAGATTTACAAATTGGAATTAGTTTGAGGATTCTAAGTACTTTAGAATGCATAATACAAAAAAGGGCTTAGAGTTTTCTCAAACACTTGGGAGAAGTCATAGGCAACTTCTGATCTGTGTGTGTGTGTGTGTTTAGAGCACACTCAAATGAGCTTTGTTTCCTTATTTGGCTACAGAACATTCTAACATCCCTGGAAAGGGTGAACAAAAGGTGCCTAGTTTGTTCATTTTCTCCCTCAGAACATGCATGTCTGAAAATATCTTTATTGAAATCACGTTTTCAATTGGGAGTTTGCTTCAGTAAATAATTTTATTTTTCATACAAGTTTTACTGTGTGTTTAGTATTTTAAAAGTATTCTCCACTATTTCTAATTTTCAATGATGCTATTAGAAATAAAATGGCATTCTATCTCTTAACTTCATTTAACTGGATTTTTACTTTGCAGAAACTTTAGGATCATGTCGTATTTCCATGTTCTGATATTTCAGGATGTGTGTAGGTCTTTTGCTATAGGACATTTTTTTTTAGCCACTGTTTTGGTACTTGAGTTCTTTGGTACTGGAGAATATGCCTAAAGTTCTCTTTAATAATTCCTGTGCAACATTCTCTCTCTCTCTTTCTTGAAGTTTATTATTATATGGCACCTCCCCTATTAACCTTCGAATGCTCTAGTTTCCCTTGAATTTTTGTTGCTATGTCTTTCCCCCCAAATTCCTGAGAAATTTCTTCACCTAATAGTTCAATGTTTATATTAAATATTTATTTCATTATAGAATTAATTTCCACAGGATCTTTTTGCTTTGAAGACTTTATATTTCTTTTGTAAAGCTTATCTCCATCTTTAGATTTTTAAAGATATCAATCAAATATTTCAAGTTTACTCTTCTCTGCTTTGTCTATTTTCTCCAAATGTACTTTTTTATCTTCTCTCTTTCTCTCTCTCCCCCTCTTTTTTGCCCACATCTCTCTTTCCCTCCCGCCTACCTCCCCCGTTCCTGCTTTCTTTCATCCTTCTTTCCTTTCTTCCTTTTTTCCTCCCTTCCTTCCTGTTTTCCTACCTTTCTTTCTTCTTTTTGTGTCTTTTTAATATTAGTTTGAAGCCTTCATTAAAAGTTCATTGACAATCTTGAGCTCTCTATGCATACATAAGAGTGTGATACTAAAATAACCATTTTAGGTGCTGTGCAGACATGTGGCTGTTAGCTGCTGACTGTGAGAAAACATTTTAAATGGTCCATTTTCAAGGCATGATATTCTAAGTACTGGCAGCCAGCCTGAGGATGTGACAAAACGCATGGCTCATGCACCTAGAAAGTTGTGATAGGCAAACAGAATGTAGAAGAGGGGTCAGCCCACTGAAGGAAAGAAAGTTTCATTACTGGGAAATCAAAACTTAAGTGGGGGAAGGGGACCAGGGTATAACCTTATAAGGGGATAATAAAACTTAGCCGACATCCAAGGAGATTGTAACCCCATAGTACTTGACCAACGAAGAACTGTGGGAGGGACATGTGTGCTAGGAGACAAATTACCTACTCTAATTGCCCCGGGTGTGTGTGTGCCTACCAGACACCTGATCTTGCAAGACCGCCATTAAAAGTCTTGCTTCTGCTGTTCTTTGTGTCTCCAAGTCCATTCTTTGTGTTTGGAAGGGTGAATGTATTTCTCACAAACTTGGGACCCCACCTGGGGTCTCTGTACCTGTGTTGAGTGGGACTCTGGCCAAGAAGGGAGATGCTTCCCACCCAATTTTAGTGGCCTGTTCCATCAGGGCATCCCGGCTCCCCACAGAGGCCATAGACAAATCTGAGACTATTATTCAGGAGGCAGCAGAAATGAGAAAAAGAGGAGAAAAGCAGGCACTGTGGCAATCAGGGCATCTCATGCAAGAGCCAAGGTAGGAGAATTGGACTATAAGTGCTGCCTTGGTAGTTGGGCATTTTCAGAGGTCAAGGGTTTGTGACTGAGACATATCCTAGATATGTCGTCAATGCGGTGTCCCAGTACACGGTTCTATTCTACCGTGAGGGAAACGGCCAGAGATGGATGAAACAATTGTTGGGGTGTGCAAGAAACCTCCAGTAGTGGGAATTGAGTACACAGGGAAAAGCTGACACACAGACTGACCCAAAATGGGAAACAGAAATTCTAAGCCTAGAGGACTAAGGAAAGAGGAAGCCAAGAGACTCTCTCTGACATTCCCCAAGATAGTCCTTAGGGGAGAATGCTGTAGTTTGGAGGAACAACCCATGAAACAGGGACAAGGAAAAGCAAAAGACAATAAAATATTGCTGTTTTATCTGTCCCAAAGACCCCATTTGTAAGCCTTTGTTCTTTTGGCCTAAGTTTGGCCAGATGAGGATTGGGTGTGCCAAGCTCTAATTCTCTATGTGAATGATAAAACCCACCCCCACAAGAAGAAGAAAAAGAACCTAGTAAAAATCCCTTTCCCAGGGAAAAGCCCCAGGACCCCCTGTCATGCTTGCCTCTCCATACATCTCACAAAATAGAGGACAGGAAGATCAAGGGGAAGCAGGAGGGTTAGAGGAAGAAAGACCCAAAGACCATGGGGAAGCTAAACCAACTGCTCCTTTAAATCCTTATCCAAATTTAAGAAAATAATTTGAACAATGTTAGAAGGATGTTGTGAACTTCCCTACCCCTTGCACATAGCAGGAATCTAGCATGTTCCTGCTTAGGGAAGTTCCTATAGGATAGGGAGATATTGGCTTTGTAAATGCTCCTCTTATAAGTGCTGAAGTTAGAAATTTCCAGAAGGAAATAACTCCTAGAAGATCCTCTCAGTTTAGCAGACCAACTGCACTAATTCCTAGGACCCAGCTTTTACACCTAGGCTGAAATGATGTCTATCATGAATATCCTATTCACAGAATAATAAAGGTGAATAATTAGGAGAGTGGCCACGGCCATCTGGGAGAAACAATACCCTCCTGAGCAAGGAGTCTTGCCAGCCAAACAAAAATTTCCAAATGTCAATTCCAAATTGGATAATAATGCTCCAGGGACAAGGCCCAAATGCAAGACCTCAGGGAACTAATAATTAAAGGGATCAAAGAGTCTACTCCTAGGACACAAAATGTCTCAAAGACATTCAAGATTCAACAAGAAAAAGAGGAAACTCCCTTTGCATTCTGCAGAGGCTCAGAGATCAGATGAGAAAACACACTAGATTAGATCTGGAGGACCCAATAGGGCAAGGCCTTTTGAAAGTTAACTTTGTAACTAACAGCTGGCCTGACATTACAAAAAAATTACAAAAGATTGATGGATGGAATGAAAAACCAATTGAGGAATTACTGAGGGAAGCTCAGAAGGTCTTTGTAAGGAGAGAGGAAGAGAATCAGGAAAAAAAAAAAAAGGCTAAAATCATTGTTTCGACTGTGCAAGAGGTAGGCAGAAAAAGGTTAGATCAACAGCCTCCTTGAAGGAGACAAGGGAATGACAGATTTTGACACAGAGAAAGAAGGGAAATGCTGGGACGAGCTCCTAAGACTATGAGTAGATGTTACAAGTGTGGAAAGCCAGGACATTTTAAGAGAGAATTTTCTGAATGGGAGAAAGAAGAAAAGGTGATACCCCTCATGACCATTGATGAAGACTAGTATGGTCAGGGGTTTCTTCTAAGCAGGTCCCACCAGGAATCTTTGATAAATTTGAAGGTGGGACCTAAGGGAGAAGAAGTGACATTTTTGGTTGATATTGAGGTGGCTCACACCTCCCTAATTCACCAACCAAGGGGTACAGAACTCTCTAAGGAAAAATTGGCTGTATCAGGAGTAAAAGGGATTTCACATTCTGATATTCAAAAAATGGTAATTAGGTTGACATCAGAACAAATTGAGATGTCACTCTTATATATTCCTGAAGCAGGAACTAACCTCCTTGGTGGAGACTTGATTGTGAGATTGGGTTTAGGATTAGGAATAGAGGAAGGACAAATACAAGCGATGATGGCCCTTAACACAGAAGGAGGAAAGAAAAATTAATTCCCTTGTGTGGGTTAGGGAAGGCAACAGGGGAGAGTTAAAAATCACACACTTACAGATTGAACTAAAACAACCAGGAGAAATAGCTTGCAGAAAACAATATTCTATTTCTATTTAAGGGAGAAAATATCTCCAACAGGTAATAGAGGGATTTATTAAAGATGGACTATTAGAACCCTGCATGTCACCATACAATACTCCAATTCTCCCAGTCAAAAAGCCTGTGCTAGTTCATATAGATTAGTGTAAGATCTAAGGGCTATACACCAAATCGTTCAGACCCACCACCCTGTGGTGCCTAACCCCTACACCCTCCTTAGTAAGATACCCTATGAACATAAGTGGTTCTGTGTGGTGGAACTAAAATATGCATTCTGGGCATATCTCCTAGACTTTAGGATTATGGGCCTCTAAGACTTCGAATGGGAAAATCTTATAACTGGGAGAAAACAACAGTACCACTTGACTATGCTGCCACAAGGCTTCATGGAAGCCCCAAACGTATTTGGTCAAATATTAGAAAAAGTCCTGGAGGTATTCCAACCTTCCAGGGAAACCCAGTTGTTACAATATGTAGATGATCTTTTAATTTCTGGGACGAGGAAGGCCAAGGTATCAGAAACCACCATAAGCTTGTTTATTTTCCTAGGTGAAAGGGGATTGTGGGTCTCTAAGAACAAATTGCAGTTTGTAGAAAAAGAAGTTAAATATTTAAGACACCTTATTAGTGAAGGGAAGCAGAGAATAAGCCCAGAGGGAATATCGGAAATAGTGGGTCTGCCATTGCCTAAGACAAAGAGAGAACTCCAAAAATGTTTAGGTTTAACTGGCTACTGTAGGTTATGGATTGGCTCATATGCTCAAAAGACAAAGATTCTGTATCTCAAGTTACAAGAAGAGGAACTTGATCCCTTGCAATGGCCCCAAGAGGAAATTCAGGCAGTGAAAGAGCTAAAGCAGGCCCTCATTATAGCCCCAGTCCTGTCCCTCCCACCTTTAGAGAAACCATTCCATCTGTGTGTAACAGTAGACCAGGGTGTGGTCCTTGGGGTGCTCACTCAAACCTGGAGGGGAAGAGGCAACCAGTTGCTTTTGTCTCCAAGCTTCTTGATCCTGTCTCTCAAGGATGGCCCAAATGTGTGCAAGCATTAGCTGCTACAACCCCGCTGGTAGAGGAGAGTTGAAAGCTAACCTTTGGTGGGGCCCTAATAGTAAGCACCGCACACCAGGTCAGGAATATATTAAATCAAAAACCTGGGAGATGGTTAATGGATTCTTGGATTCCAAAATATTAAGCCACATTACTAGAAAAAGATGGTTTGGTCATAACAACAAATACTTGCCTGAATCCCGCCAGTTTCCTATGGAAAGGTGAGGAGAACAAAGACATTATTAGATCATAACTGCTTGGATATCATAGAATACCAAACCAAAGTTAGAACAACCTTAGGGAAGCTCCACTGCATGATAGGATAAGGCTGTTTGTAGATGGGTCATCCTGAGTGATACATGGCAAAAGACATAATTATTATGCTGTCATTTATGGAAATAAACAATCCTTATGTGAGAAAGGTAGATTACCTAATGGCTGGTCGGTCCAGAACTGTGAATTATATGCTCTTAGCCAGGCCCTAAAACTCCTTGAAGGCCAGGAAGGTATAATATATACTGATTCTAAATATGCCTATGGGGTGGTGCATACTTTTGGAAAAACTGGAACAGAGCAGGGCCTAATAAATAGCAGGGGAAAATAATTGGTACACAAGGAACTGGTCAAACAGCTTTTAGAAAGCCTCCTGCTTCCAGGAGAGGTAGCCATAGTTTATGTAAATGGTCATAAGAAAGGGAAAACTATAGAAGCTGTAGGAAACAGACTTGCAGATGAAGCTGCTAAGCAAGCCTCCCTGCAGAAAGAAATTAGACTAATTAGCCTGATCCCAAACATCTCTAAGGTAGTATTAAGGCCCCAGTTTACCAGAGAGGAGAAGGAAGAATTAGACAGGATAGGGGTCACTCAAACTGAAGATGGGAAGTGGGTACTTCCTGATGGGAGAGAAATGATAAGTAAATCCCTGATGAGAGAACTAATTTCTATATTACACAAAGGAAGTCACTGGGGATCCCAGGCTCTGTGTGATGCAATACTTAGGAATTATGGCTGTATAGGGATTTATACCCTTGCTAAACATGTATGTGGAAGTTGTGTAACTCGTCAAAGAATAAACAAAAAGGTGATTAGAAAACAGGCCACAGGAGGAAGACCTCCCAGACTAAGACCATTTCAAAGTATTCAAGTGGATTTCACAGAACAGCCCAAAGGAGGGAGACTAATGTATTTACTGGTGATCATAGATCACCTTTCCAACTGGGTGGAAGCCTTTCCCTTCCAACAGCCACCACTGGGAAGGTGGACAAAATAATATTAAAACAGAATGTACCTAGATTTGACCTGGTGGAAAATATTGATTCAGACAATGGGAGCCACTTTATCTCAAGGGTGTTAAGGGGAATTATGGAAGATTTACAAGTTAGATGTGATTATTACACCCTTTGGAATCATCCTTCCTCTGGAAATGTAGAAAGAATGAATCATTCTCAAAAAGCATCTCACCAAACTAATCTTAGAAACTAAAATGCCTTGGGCCAAATTTTTCCCAATAGCACTCCTTTGGATTAGGACAGCCCTAAGAAAAGACTGGGGATTGTCCCACTATGAGTTATTATGTGGGCTATCATATTTGGGCAGAGCTAGAAATCTCCCTACTGTGGAAACCAAGGATCATTTCTTAAGAAATTATATACTTGTCATGTCCTCCACCCTATTATCCATTAGATTAAAAGGACTTCTGACTCAAACTCTGACTCTTCAGTTCACAGTTCACCACTTCCAGCCTGGTGACTTGGTGCTGATTAAGACATGGAAAGAGGATGAGCTCCACCCAAGCTGGGAAGGTTCCTATCAAATGCCCCTGACCACTGAGGTGGCCGTCCAAACAGCTGAACAGGGATGGATTCACTATACTCGAGTCAAGGAACTGATAAAACAGACCCCGGGAGGGAGGAAAAAAGACCAGTGGAAAGTGCATGGGTCACCTAAGGAACTCTTAAGTTAATTCTGAGAAAAATCTAAAAAGAAAACATGGGCTGGTCCCATTTCTGGAAGTTAATATGGCTAGGATATGCTACTATACAAAGAGCAGAAGGTCAAAATGGAAACTGGTGGGGGACTCCTCCCTACCCAGTCAGGTTGGCAATTAATGTAACCAAGATGGTAGCACTCCAGATTATAAGATGTGATGCCTGCCAGGTCTTACCTTGTGCAAATCTGGAAAATCAGAGACAACTCTCACAGGTGGATAAATATCTTTGCCCTGAACCAGATACAAGTTACTGTAGGGCATCACCCTGCCCCAGCTGGGATGACGTATGGTGGACTACTCAATTTCAGGGTTGGACAGTAAACATGGGGTGGGTAATTCCAAGCTGGAGACCCTTGAAGAATAAACTACATCTGTCCAAGGGCTCCCCACCACATAACTGCCAGAATTTAGAATGCAGTCCTCTACTCATCACCATTGATGATCTAACCGTTCTAGACCAAGAACCAAAAGTAGCATCTTGGGTATATGGGTTAGGGGCAGACCTCACAGGGAAAGATCCACCCCCCCACTAGGGTAATTTGTTCTCAAAGTAATCAAGAACACAACCTCCCATCTTCCTGGGACTACTCCAACCCCAGACCCTAGTAAACAATTTGGTCCACCAAATAATGACCCTTCAAGACTAAAAACGATTGAGGTAAAGGATTTAAGGCAACCCTTAGAAATTGAGACAGGGTACAGAGATGTGAATGCCTGGGTCGAATGGGTCAAATTTTCAGTACAATCCCTAAACAAGAGTAACTGGTACACGTGTGCTGGGGATGACCTCAGCACAGATGGTTCCATTTCCCCTAGGATGGGATACCAATCCTGAAGGAATGTGTTGCATATTGGCACTATACCAGGACAAGGATGCATGGGGAAACCAGACTTGTAAGAGTACGTCATCGCTCTTTCCCACATTGCAGAGATCAGACCCCAGAGCAATGCCCTCAT